>NC_000010.11:82870368-83021883 GCF_000001405.40 Homo sapiens | reverse complement strand
ACTTAATTAGCAATCATTCTTTGAAGAGGAGGAGTCAGGCGTTGATGCTCTTGATACAATGTTTGTTCATCTATGCATTCTTCCATTAACTTACTTGTTGATTCATTCAACATTAAAGTTTTATAATGTGCATTAAAACACTAAACCATCTACCAATTTTTTTACTGATTCATCTCCCGCACTTGGATTTGAATTCTGAGGCTGAGTAAGGAAGAAATATGGGCCCATAAACATAATATCCCTTTGTCATACCATGTCAAAGCATTGGCGGAATTGGAAACCAGCAGTGATATGCTTGTATACTGTGCTGCACACCACTTCTGGGAGGCAAAGCCCAGTGCTCATTTATCTATTCTGTCTCTGAGCAAACTGAGAGAAGGTTTTTTTCTCATTCCAACTGGCAAAAAGTTACTCTAGAAGAACATAGCAACTTAGCACACAGCTATACCTTCCTAACAATTGTCTTCTTTTTCAGCAACCCCCATTCTAGACTCCTAAAGTGTCTCAGCTCGGAAAAATGTAACTACTGTAATGCCCAACAAATAGATTCTAATGTCCTGGGAAAAAGTAAAATATGAAATTAATATTAATATATTGCTGCCATCGATTCATTATCTCTGATGTATTGCAGTGGCATTTTAGTTGTCATATTTCTTCAATATGAAATAGTCCCTCAGTCTTTATTGACTTTCACAAACGTTACTTTTTTTTCTTTTTTTTTTTTTTCTTTGAGATGGAGTTTCCCTCCTATTGCCCAGGCTGGAGTCAATGGTGGGGTCTCAGCTCACTGCAACCTTTGCCTCCCAGGTACAAGTGATTATCCTGCCTCAGCCTCCCGAGTAGCTGGGATTACAGGTGCACTCCACCACAACTGGCTAATTTTTTTGTATTTTTAGTAGAGACAGGATTTCACCATTGTTGGCCAGGCTGGTCTCGAACTCCTGACTTCAGGAGATTCACCCACCTCGGCCTCCCAAAGTGCTGGGATTACAGTTGTGAGCCGCCATGCCTGGCCAACTTTCACAAATTTTATTCCTTCAAAAATTACAGCCCAGTCATTTGGTGTAACATCCCAGAATCTGGGAGTAGATGATGTTTGTTCATGATTAAATTCAGATTATTCATTTGGGCAGGGATATCATAAAAATGATAGTGTGTTCTTCTCATTGCATTTTTTCAGCTAGTGTAAAATTTTGGATTGTCTCATTAATGGTTCTGTTTGGTATTTTGATTAAAATTGTGTCTGCAAAATTTTTTCACTGTTAGTTTATTCCTTTTCTTCTGGTAATTTATCAGTATGTTTGCAGAAGTACTTTGAGACTCTGTAAATATTTCATTTCTTGACAAATATTACCTTTTCGTATTCAAATTATTAATGTTTCTTTGTCTTATTATCACTATTCCACTCACCAAAAGGAGATTTTCTCACCCCACCCTTTCTACTGCTTTGATTAATCGGCCTTCTTCTGTAAAGAAAACTTTCTCTTCCATCTAATTACTCACTCATACCATTTATATCAGTAGGGACTTGGGGTTTTCTACTTTATACAGCGGAACATAATTTGTGTCAATCATTATTTATTTGAATGCTCAATTTTTTCCAGACTTGTCTAATAGGGACCTCTCCATGTTGTCTTCTTTGTTCTTTTGATAGGATCCCACCATTCTTTGGGCCTTTCCTTATTTCCTGGAATGGTAAAATATTCCAGGCTCATCGTGGACTTTCTGGATCCTATCATCAGTCATTTTCTCTAAGGAATACATGTTCATTTCAGTGGAACATAGTATTTAGACACCAAGACATGGGTGCTGCACATGCTCATACCTACTGGAACATGGCTGCTCTCAGGCCCTCTCACTGGAAAAAGCTAGGGAAAGCATGGATCTATACACATGTGTATGTATATATGCACACACACACACACACACACACACATACACACACACATACACACACACACATCTCAATTTATTTTCATTTCTATTTATATTGAAAACCCTAAGTTCACACTGAAACTTCTATTCCACTGCAATGCCAAGAACCTCATACTTGTTTTACTTCTTCTCATATTTGTACCTCTCTCAAACGTGAGAAACCTATTCCCATTATCCTAAAATCTGTGCTTATTTAATCAGTCTTTATTGCATATAATGAGTTTCCTGTTTAGCAACTACGGTTCTTCTCTCACATACATCCTTTACAACTTGCTAGGGTTCCAACATACTAATCTGGGTTATTGCCACCAAGGCCAGACCAAGGATTGCTCTTCTTCCCCTTCTTGGGCTCTAACCCCCAACTCTGGGCTGCCACCTCTGTTGCCCCAAACAGGGCCCTACTTACCTCACTCAGGCCCTAATACCCTTCCTCCTAGAGTTAAGCCTCAGGAGGCCAGCTAAGGAGGAGGGTGTCGGGGGAAATTCAGCCCCCAATATTTCACGTGGGTCCTTTTCTATTTTCCCTAAGTGTCGGCCAGTCTGAGAAATAAAGGGAAAGAGTACAGAAGAGAGAAATTTTAAAGCTGGGTGTCCGGGGGAGATATCACATGTCAGCAGGTCCCCCAAGCCACAAAACCAGCAAGTTTTTATTAGTGATTTTCAAAAGGGGAGGAAGTGTACAAATAGGGTGTGGGTCACAGAGATCACGTGCTTCACAAGGTAATAAAATACCACAAGGCAAATGGGGGCAGGGCAAGATCACAGGACCAGGGCAAAATTAAAATTGCTAATGAAGTTTTGGGCACACATTGTCATTGGTAACATCTTATCAGGAGACAGGGTTTGAGAGCAGATAACTGGTCTGATCAAAATTTATTAGGCGGGAATTTCCTCGTCCTAATAAGCCTGGCAATGCTACGGGAGACCGGGGCTTATTTCATCCCTTATCTATAACCATAAAAGACAGACATTCTCAAAGCGGCCATTACAGAGATCTCCCCTTGGGAACACATTCTTTTTCTCAGGGATGTTCCTTGCTGAGAAAAAGAATTCAGTGATGTTTCTCCTATTTGCTTTTGAAAGAGGAGAAATATGGCTCTGTTCCGCCTCGCCCACAGACAGTCAGACTTTAAGGTTATCTCCCTTGTTCCCTGAACATCACTGTTATCCTGTTCTTTTTTCAAGGTGCCCAGATTTCATATTGTTTAAACAATTTGTGCAGTTAACGCAATCATTACAGGGTCCTGAGGTGACATTCATCCTCAGTTTACGAAGATGACTGGATTAAGAGATTAAAATAGACAGGCATAGGAAATCACAAGAGCATTGATTGGGGAAGTGATATGTGTCCATGAAATCTTCACAATTCATGTTCAGAGATTGCAGTAAAAACAGGCATAAGATATTATAAAAGTATTAATTTGGGGAACTAACAAATGTCCATGAAATCTTCACAATTTATGTTCTTCTGCCATGGCTTCAGCTGGTCCCTCCTTTCGGGGTCCCTGACTTCCTGCAACAGGAAGGCACGGGATTCCTTTAAGAAACTCTATGCGTCTTAATGGATAAATAAAATGTGGTATATACATACAATGGAATATCATTCACCCATGAAAAGAAAGAAATTCTACAATATGCAGCAACATAAATTAACCTGGAGAACATTATGGGAGGTGAAATAAGCCAGTCCCAGGAAGACTAATACTGCATGATTCCACTTCTATGAGGGAACTAAAATAGTTAAACTTATAGAATCAAAAAGAACAGCAGTGGTTGCCAGGGGTCAGGGAGAAAATGGGCAGTTGCTAATCAATGAGTATAAAGTTTCAGTTAAGCAAGGTGAATAAGTTCTAGAGAGCTATAAAATACTGTACTTACAATTAGCAATGCTGTATTGTAGACCTAGACATTGAAGTCTCATGTTTTCTTTCTGAAATAAAATAAAATAAAACCCTTTGTGTCTACTTACCTTTACTTCTCCTAACCTTTATTCCTAGTCCCATTAAAGAGAATGATTCTTTTTTTATTTTTATTTTTTGAGACAGAGTCTCGTTCTGTCCTCGAGGCTTGGAGTACAGTGGCATAATCTCAGCCTCTTGGGTTCAAATTCTTTAACCTCAGTGAAGGGAACTCTCCTCTTATACCACCTGTATTCTCCCCCACCTGAAATGCCCTCAGAGAGAATGCTTCCAAGACAAAAAGCTAAAGCTTTATCTGTATCTTTCTCATGCTCTGCTTTGTCATTGCTTTTCTGAATCATTAGGAGTTAGAGTGACCTAATTATCTGCAATAGAAAGGCAAGGGATAAAATAAAATATTGAAGGCAGGGTGGGGGAAATGAGGAAATGACAGCAAACGTTTAAAGATATTATTTGCCACACACTTTTTGTATCTCTTTATATCAACCCTAGGAGATAGAAATTGTAATATTAATTTTTTAACTGAGGAAAGTGACAAATTGTGCCTCCAGGTCTTACAGTGGGTGTATATGTGGCAGAACTTTGATTGACAGTCAGGTAGCCTGATAACAAAGGTCTTGCTCTTTACATTACTTTATGCCTGTTAGTACTGGATTTCTTCAGCCTGCATATTTCAAGCTCCAAATTAATTCCCCAGAGTCAGCTTCTTTAATGGACTCAATACTGATTTATTTCCTCCCTACATAAAGAGGCTGGAGTCATATATAATGATGTATTCTTGTAAGCCATCTTTTAGAAGGGTTTCCACAAAAGAGAATGCTACATGAATGTTCACTAAGATTACTAATGGCCAGGATTCAGACAATGTGAAATGTGGCATTATTCATGGAAATGAGTGATTATCATCCCAGGACCAGAGAAAAATTCTGCACCATTTACGACTTCCATGCTTTTTTATGGACCACACTTGTCAGTTGGGCATTTAGATTATGGCAATTATCGACAACTTGCACTATTTAAGAATAGAAATATGAAAATAATTTTACTTTTTTTACCCCTGTAGCATGAGTTCAGGGTCTTTATTGAGTCTCATGAATGCCTTCTAGTAGATATTTTTAAAGCTACTTAGGTATTTTTTAAAGTAATACACTATATGCATGTTCTCTCTTTATTCTTCAGCAAAAAATGTCCTATCAGTGTGTTCACAGTTAAGTACATGACTTTTTATCCATCTCTTCCTAGGACTCAAGTTCAAAAATAATTTTGCTTTGTTTTTATTAGTTGTGGCTACGGATTTTCACAATCTTATTTCTGTTAAAGGACAAATATCTCCGGAATTTAAAATTTTATATTGGCAGACAAATGATGACTCAATTTGATTGACTATTTTTTTTATCTATCTAAAACTGAAGTATCTTCTAAGCTTCTCATTATCCAGGGCCATGTAAAGAAGACTATTTGTGTTTGAAGCACACAGACATTGTGTTTAAGTAACAGTAGATTCAAGTAAGCATACTGAGTCAGCCCACAAATTCTAAGTGTGATTAGCTCATATAAGCTAAGGATTCATATAAGCTCAAAAAAGGGGAAGGAATATTTCAAATAAGGAAAGGATTCAAAAATATCTAAAAGTGCTGGTTTGTCTTAAAGCTTTGGCCATCTGTGTATGCCGCACCCTAATCTGAAATGTCATTCTTCCCTTGAATGAAGAATGAGCTCCTAAATAGCCTTCAAAACTCAGTCATTAAGTCACCAGCTCTGAATTCCTTACCTGACCTCCACAGTCAAGCCGTATACTTTGCTTTCTTCATGTTATTTTGGCAGCTCTTCTAATGTTGTACTTAATAATGTGTCACTTGTCTATCTCACTAGATTATGGTATAAATTTAAATTGTCTATTCCAATCATTTTTAAGAATTTTTCATTCATTCATTCAACACATATCAATTGAGTATGTATTATGATGCAGAAACAGAGCAAGCCTGTCCCATGACAAAGCTTGAATAGTAAAAAGAGTCTGTGAATGCTCTCATAGGCCCAGTTAAGGATATGGGGGGCTTTTCTTTAACCACAGTGCAATGGAAGGCCCTGTGTCAGAACAGAATTATAAGGCCATTGTTAGTTTTCTCATACAACAGGGGTTCACAACATGAGGCTCAATTTGCCTTCTGAGCTTCATGGATTATAGGGTATAACTATCCAATTATCATTATCATCCTCAGGGTGGTAGCACTGAAAAAGAAGAAATACTTGTGGAAGAGCAACATTTGAGAGTTCAACATGGTGAGTCTAGGTGATGAATCATATTAGTCTGAAACCTGGAGTGTTAAGCCAGGTTTGACCTCTCCAATGAGACAGGAAACCATTACAGATGAAGACCCTGGGCTTAATTTTAAATGTGTGGATCCCTCAACATCATTTATTGAAAGTGGAGTCTGCCAGTTTCTCCACTGTCAACTATTTTTCCGTCTCCATAATCTATTCACTAGAAATGAGTTACTGAGTCCAGCTCACAAACAAGGTAAGAAAATTATTCTTCATCTCTCAGAGGGAGCAGTGTCAAATCAGGTGTGAACATATGTTAAAGCCACCACAGTAATGAATAAATATTATAAGACAGGAATTTTGTAGCAAATATCTCATATCTCCTTAACACTCCACCTTTTTTAAATTCTATTTAGTGACAGTATCTTGAAAAATGAGGGAGATCAATCTGGTCTAGGACTGCAAGTCCCTGAAGATTTGTTGTCAGCAGCCAGACTTGGATGTGTCTTCTCTGAATGCCACAACCCTCCCATCCTTTTGCCTACTTAATTCTAGAGGTTCCATTCTGTAATTGCCAGCATTTCTTCTAGGAAGTAAAATACCACTGATCATGTTCTGGGAATTCTGGCTGAGAACAGCATAGAGTTGGGTCTCTCTAATGTGGTGATGTTAAGGAGTGATATATTGGTGTTTTTGTTGGAGCCACCTGACACTCTAACTGAGCCTTTGCAGAAGAGAGAAGCGGTAGCCCAGTGCAGTGACCATGGTTTGCAACTGAATTTTAAAAGGACAGCCAGACAGGGCCACTAATTTCCACAGTCCAAAGCCTTATGTACACAGCAGTTCTCCAGGCAGCTGAGAATACCTTTTGCTAGTTTCACCCTTTAAGGGTCTTCTTATTTTTTCCAAGTTATTACTAATGATATCTCTATTCCATTACCTCTTATGAGAAGAAAAAATATTACATTGCAATGAGAAATAGAAACTTTATGTGAACTTAAATGACTAGAACTTACTTTTCTGGTCAACATAATCTCTCCTTCAAGGATATTCTGCACAAGACACTGCCTTACAAACCAGCAGGTGGCTTGCAAGGATGAAAATCCAAGTGAGGGGAGACAGTGTACAGTCTTAATTACAGTGCCCTGGAGTCCTGCTGTACCACAGTGAAAACTCCACAGCACGTAGAGGGCTGTCAAGGGCACCTACTGTCTTTGGATGCCAGGACACAGTCTTCCTTAGACAGTGCTGAAAATATCAATACATTCTAGTTCTTGCTTTCTTTCTTTAGATAATTAAAACTTTTTAATCAGTGCTGAAAATATCGACACATTCCAGTTCTTGCATTCTCTCTCTAGATAATTAAAACCTTTTAATCAGTGATTTTATAAGGCTATGACTTCTGTTACACTCACCTATTAATTTATTTATTTTACAAGTATTTATTAAGCACCAATTGTGCCAGGAATCATATAGAAACTGGGATATAATCATGATAAAGTCACATGTGGCCTCTGTTCTCTTAAAGAGAAGAATTGAATAAGATCCCAGGACTTAATATTTGCACTTTATACCTGGTATATATTCTAATTCTTAGGTAGCACTTCTCCGGGTAGTGAATATTTTAATAAATTTGCTGAATTTTCTAATTTTGCTCTTCAAGGTCACCTTATTTTCTCAAGCACTGAGAATGCTTCAACTTAGTCTGTCTGGATACTGTTTGGAAGCCATCATGAATATAATCTCTATCTGATGGTCAAGGTCTGATCCAGGCTGCAAGGGGCCTCAAGCTCATGCAATTTGAGGTTGCCTCTTTAGGAAAGTTAATACAAAAATCACAAGTTCATAATTAGGCATTAAATATAATATTAATTAATTAATTTTTAAATGAAGATGGGGTTTTGCCATGATGCCCAGGCTGGTATCCAACTCCCGGGCTCAAGTGATCCACCTGCCTGCCTCAGCCTCCCAAAGTGATGGGATTACAGGCATCAACTACCCACCATGCCCGACCAGAATATTTATTTAGACTAAGAAAATATCACAAACACTTATTGAAGTCTTGGATACCCAGGTTTCTTTCTTTTGAGATTCTTTTAGACAATTTTTCGGAAATACTTACATACAAACGCAACCTAACTTCTCCCCAAAATTCTCTACACTTTTTTTTTGGAACTGGCAGCCTTCAAACGGGACCGTGCATGTGAGTGGCCTTGAAGCTGAAAGTTCAGTAGCTTCATGGTAGAGCCCCCTCTGCCCGTGGTGCTCTCTGAGGTAGAGCAGTCAAAGGGACAAAGGCAGAGTGAAGTTAAAAACAAGAAATAAATCCAAATCAAATTTGAGCAAGGACAGAGCAAGTCACCAAAGGTGAAGTTCCGAATGAGGGGAGGCCAGGTATAGAGTAAATGCCAGGAATTGTGATGCCTGAGAAAAAGACAATGGGATAAACAGAGTCTGGGGGAAACTTTTTAAAAAATGGGCTATGAGTGTATGTAAAAGGAAATGAAGACACATGTGCCTACTGTGCCCCATACCCCTGAACCTCAAAGTGTGCCTCCATGTGTGGGTCTGCATCTGGCATCTTAAAACATTCCTATGCCTTAATGGGTTGGAGTCAGGGAGAGGACACAGAAATGCAGGAGAGGACGTGCCTGCCTTGTTCCCTCCCCGATTGCTCTGGTGTGCATTTAGCATGACTCACCAATACGCAGAGATCCTCTCTGGCTGTGAGAGAGGCTACAGACACTTTCAGATCCATTGTAGAAATGTGACAGAGTTGCAGAATGTCCCTCAGGCTCTTCAACTTATTGTTTTGGAAACCTACTAAAGAGGAGCAAATACACAGTTCTTGTCTTAAAAAGCTGTTTCCTAGGAGAATCTGCATCTCCATGAAGCCATAGTCTCCCACTGGGAAACATTTTTTTGTTTTTTTCAATATGACCCAAGAAATATCCTCTACAATCAATATGTTGTTTCAAAAATGTTGTGGGAGAAACCTACCTAAGATAAACACTGACTGTCAAAGTTTGGTCTTTTAGGAAAGTATAATAATGCTTGTAAGAAGTCAGGAGGTGTTATTATCTTTGAAAAAATGCATATTATCTTTAAGTGAAAAATGTAAAAATTCCAGAGGAGGGATACATATTAAAGAAATAAAAACTTTGAGTTTTTAAGGGATAGTCTAAGATGAAAGAGAGGAAAGTTTTATCATGAAGAGAAGAAAAATAGGAGAACTGTGGGCAAGGGGAAGTGCAGAGAGAGAGACAGAACAAGTAGAAGAGCAGGAGAAAGATTCAATGTGTAGCAGGAGATGGAATCCTCGGAAGAGCTGTAGTCACTTGGGAACATTTCTATGGCAGTAAATGGCTAAATTTTTTTAGAATAGCGATACCTGATATTAAATGCTAACTTACCTCCTCCTTTTTGTTGCAATTGCTTGTTGTTACCCTCACGTTTTCAGTAGAAGTGAACCATTCCCAACACCCTTATATTAGAAATGTGCCTGGAGAATGTAGTAGCAGGAGTAAGCCACACCCAGAAACACAGGAATCAAAATCAAAATCAAATGTAAGGAAGAGAATAACACTGGAGACATTGACTAGGAGTGGGTTTGTTTCTGACAAATCATTCACTGCTTTCCCACTGAAACCTCAGAGGATTTGGGAAGAGTTCTATCCTTCTGGGAGCGTAAAATACAATGAGAGATGCTCCCAAAAGGGTTGAGAATATGGGGCTATTCAAGCTGTAGCTACTCGATCTTGGAAAAATCACTTTTGCAACCCATGGGGCTCAGAACATTAACCTTTAAAATGAGGGCTTAGACAAGATAGATCCAATTAGATGAAGTATACTTTCTGGTATTAACCCAATACAAACTAGTTTTTCCCCCTGTGGACTAAGAAAATAAAAAATATATATTCTTCTGAATTATTCCTTGGCGTTTTATTTTTAAGAACTACTCAGGTTATACATTTTCAGAGTTGGGATTATACACAAATTTTATGTGACAGATACTATTCTTATTTGATTGATTTGGGGATCTTCATGAATATTATGAGACTTTATACATAAGCTTATATTATTTCAGATATATGTCAGCACGTGAAATTTGAAAGGTCACAGGTTTTACTCTAAGCGCCATTTGGGAACCTGGGAATTTCTGGAAGAGCTTGGATTTTAATGGTTTTTATTGATTGCTAAAATAAAGGCGTTTATGAATAAAATACTGTGAAATACGCATAGTGTTTTCCTCATAATTGAATTGAAGTTATTTTACAGGAAAAAGTTGGACCTGTATGAATTGCATACATTAAATATATTATGGTGCCTTAATAACAATAACATTCTTGCACCATATACTTTTACAAATGCTTACTAGTATCAAAGAATTTAATTCTCCCATCCGAGGCGTAGAGATATTCACTAGTCTGCCCAAAATCAAAAGGATTATTTGGTTTCAGAGTCTGCTTTTAGCTGTCAGAAGTATAACAATTCTATAAAATATAATGCTGTGCAGCCTTTGCAAATTATGATGTAAATGTATATTTCTTGAAATACAAAGGTATTCATGAGAAACCAGAAATAACAAAGCAGATTGGCATATAATTTATGTATATATTCATATATGTGTGTATCACATACATAAGTGTTTCATAAAATCCATTTTTATTCTCCTAATGGTGACCTTACTCTTTTTAAATATACAGTTATTATACGACATTTCCAAATAGTTCAATTTTAAGAATGAAGTAGTGTATTTTGCCTTTTTCCTGACCTGAGTAAAATTTTTTTTAAGTAGCACATCTTAATTTCTTAGGGCATTTTTTTTTAATTTTTTTATATTTTTTGGTCTAAAGTTGGAATTATTTACATGTAACTCTATATTCATCATGTATTATGAATTATCAGATGCATTTTTACATTACAACTTCCTGACTTTTTGTGTTTTAATTTCTTTGTTTGAAAGCTTCATTGAATATTATATGACCAACAGTCCCAATTTGCCTGGTACTGAGCAGCTTCTTGGGACATGAGACTAGTTCTAAAACTGAGACAGTCATGAGTGAATCAGGAAACTTGATTGCCCAGACAGTGTTGTGATGGTTAATATTGAATGTCAACTTGATTGGATTGAAGGATGCAAAGTATTGTTTCTGAGTACATCTGTGAGGGCATTGCCAAAGGAGATTAAAATTTGAGTCAGTGGACTAGGAGAGGCAAACCCACCCTCAATCTGGGTGGGTGCCATCTAATCAGCTGCCATCATGGCTTAAATAAAAGCAGGCTAGACTGGCTGAGCTTTCCAGCCTTCATCTTTCTCCCACACTGAATGCTTCCTGCCCTCGAACATCAGACTCCAAGTTCTTCGGCTTTTGAACTCTTGGACTTACACCAGTGGTTTGCCGGGGGCTCTCAGGCCTTTGACCACAGAGAGAAGGTTGCACTGTCAACTTTCCTACTTTTGAGGTTTTGGGACTCAGATTGGCTTCCTTGCTCTTCAGCAGATGGCCTTTTGTGGGACTTCACCTTGTGATCGTGTGAGTCAATACTTCTTAATAAACTCCACTTTATATATACATCTGTCCTATTAGTTCTGTCCCTCTAGAGAACCCTAATACAAGTGTACACCTTTAAGCAAAATTTGTTTACCTTAAGAGAATAATAGAGATATCTGTACTTATACCCGAATAAAGATAAATAAATAGAGGAATATATTGAGAAAGAGAAAGGGAACGATGATTGAGAGTTACAGGAAGAAAGGGAAAGACTCACACATGTAAAGACCACAGATATTTGGTGGGGTGCGGTGGCTCACCCCTGTAATCCCAGCACTTTAGGACGCCAAGGCAAGTGGATCACCTGAGATCAGGAGTTTGCGACCAGCCTGGCTAACGTGGTGAAACCCATCTCTACTAAAAATACAGAAATTAGCCGGGCGTGGTGGCAGGCGCCTGCAATCCCAGTTACTTAGGAGGCTGAGGCAGGAGAATCGCTTGAGCCCAGAAGGCTGAGGTTACAGTGAGCTGAGATCGGGCCACTGCACCTCCAGCCTGGGCGACAAGAGCGAAACTCTGTCTCAAAAAAAAAAAAAAAAAAACCTACAGATCTTTGTACATTTTTGTATGTAAGTATGTGTAAAAAGATACATATTTACACATCTGGCTCTCTATGTATATGTAGAAAAGTAGAAATGATTAGAAGGGAGAGAGAGAATAATATTATAGTCTTACTTTTGATACTTATCAGTAACATTATTTATTATATAATTATAACATAATTATAAATTTAGAAATATTTTTTGTTTTAAAAATACTTTATTTAAAAAATACTAAGTCCAGCTGCATATTGCCTCTTGCCTAGGTCAAAAAAAAGTCTATCCACAGAAATTCTTCAGTGCTTTCTTTCCCTTGTTAGGATTATACATGAAACCTGCCATGTATCAAAGCCATGAAATTGTGAGAAAGGTCTAGCCTCCGGTCCTCTGAAGTTACCATTGCTTCTTGCTAAATGATGCTCTGTAAAATGTTGGCCCAGATCATCTTCTAAAAGTTTTCAGAGCTCTGGCCCTCACCCAAGGTCCTCTCTATTGGACTTAGACAAAGCACTCAATTCAAGGTGAGAAACTGAGTTACCTTCATAGACATCCAAGCAGCTGTCACCCAGCTGAGAAGACTCCTTTTCTGTGGCACTCTGTGGTGGAGAGATACACCATTGCTTCTTATGGCACCCACAAAATTCTGCTCTCCTCTCTGGTTTCAGAGAGCCTTTTCCCAGAATAGCCCTTCTCTTTCTAGCAAGGCATGCAATGCCTGCCCACCCACTTCTGAAAACCAGGTTCCAACCCCTTTAGGGAACAGGATTCTAAACATTCTAAATGAAAAGAGCCCAAAGCTCAAGGATAAAATGTTTGATGATCCCTTGGCAGGGGAATCTTACATTTTATAATTATATTTATAATATTATGTATATATATTTATGATATATATTAAAATAAAATTATAGTTTGATTATGAGTTTTTAGCGGCACCCTTAAAAATGATACCCACTAAATAATGAATAATTTAACTCCTAGTTTTAGTACTTTTATAAAGTAGATATTTAATAAAACTTCAGTAGCTTATTCTTCCCAACTATTGTACACAAAGCACATCTGGAGCCATGTCTGCCTTTTCTGAGAACTAACTAATGAAAAGATTCTTAGGAAGGGAAAAAAAGCTTTCTACATATCCATTAGTGTAAAGATGCTTTTAATAGTACTGATGGCAATAATTAATGAAACCATTTAAAGCAGTTCTTTATTTAAAAGACATCAATTCTATTTAAATTTACCACTCATTCTAACGTGGTGTATAAACAGTTTTCTTGTTTGGGAATCTACTTTAGTGTAAATACTCAAAGGAGAATATTGACCACCTAACGCTTTTCATTTTCTAGGTAGTTAGGATGTTGCTAGAATTGAGAACTACCAAAGGCATTGTAGGAACAAATATAGTCTCTAGGAAGTTTAAATATAAATTCTAACTTGTTTGGGACTCTTGAGTATGTTCATTTTGGCTTTCTAGTAGACACCAGTTTATTTTCTAATTTCTAGCCGTTAAGCACTTTTGTAAGAACTTTAGCACAAAATATGAGAGGAGGTAGGTTGAGGGTGTTAGGCAAATTCTTACTGAAATAAAAGCTTAAAAATTTTAAGTATGTATTTCCAAGACAGCAGGCATAGACCCCTGTAAGAAGGATATTCCCACTTCTCAGGGAACTGTTTCTCATCACCACTGCCTCCTTTAACTTAGCATTCACTTTGTACAGTATGATCTTATGGTGAGCATCTGCCTCACAAGTGCTCCTTTTTCAAGGAAGCTGAAAAACTTTGTCTCAAGATAGGTGAGTATATGAAATGGGGCAGATGTAAAATTTCGGGAACTGAGGCAAGTCATTTTCAACTGTGTACACTACAGAGCAGAGAAAGTTGCTCAAATAAAAGAAGATCATTTGATAGCACTATTGATTTTGCCTACATTCCTCCTGCTCCTCATCCGCCTTTCTTGAGGCCCAGTTGCATTAACGCCCTTGGGTTTGTGAGACATTCCTGCATGATTACAATAAATTCTTATTCCTCAATCTCTAATTTTAGTTCCCATAGCTATGCAACTCCTGCCTTTCTTTCTCTCATTCTCTTTCCCCATCCTTCCATTTTAATGCTTGCTATAATTCTAGCAAATGTCAGTGTTCTATATATAATCCTTCCAAGAAGACAGTCGCTGCAATTTCTAGGAGCCCATTATAGAGTGATCTTCACCCCTCTTCAATTTTGGTCACACATATCCTTAATCTAGGCATTAGCAGTAATGACTTAAATGATGAAACTGGACCTTAAACATTCCCCCCCTCAGACCACAACCTCCCACTCTTCCATGTGCTTCACACTCATTTCTATTGCTTTTGATTTCTTAGTAAACTCCAAGCCCTCAGAGGTTAGAAACTTAGACACCAGAGTCAGACAGACCTGGAATTTAATCTTACTTGTAAATCAATGATTTTTGCAAGGAAAACTACTTATCTTTCTAAGGCTAAAATGATTCAGCTGAACAAAGGAAGTAATATCAGTCTCTGAGGTCGTTGCTTATGCAACACAGCACCTGGCACACAAAGACACCCAATCGATGCTATCTGTGTAATTCTCACATTGTTATTGCTCTTTTCATTTCCCCTTAATTTATCAAAAGGCTCCTAGTTTTTCTTCCTTCTGTAGCCACTCATGTGTGCCCAAATAATCTGGGTAACCCATATTCTTAACATCAACTCTTCTGTGGTCCAGCCCTTCTGTCTTAATTATCAGAGGAAACCCAAACCCTGGATACATTTTCCAACCTATCTTCTCCCTCTCTACTGTCCTCCCACCAGAGATTCAGATTGATAACCACTCCACGTCCAAGGTTTCTAAACTCAGCTTGGTCCCAAGAATGACTTTAAATCCATTTATTTGATTACCTCCCCGCATCATTTCTATCAATTTCTATGTGATATGTTTACCACATTCCTTCAGTTCTCTACCAAGCTAGTTATCTTGTTTATTTATTTATTTATTTATTTATTTATTTATTTATTTATTTTGAGATGGCGTCTCGCTCTTGTCGCCCCGGCTGGAGTGCAATGGTGTGATCTCAGCTCACTGCAACTTCCACCTCCCAGGTTCAAGCAGTTCTCCTGCCTCAGCCTCCCGAGTAGGGGATTACAGGTGCCTGCCACTACACCCAGCTAATTTTTGTATTTTTAAAGACGGGGTTTCACCATGTTGGCCAGGCTGGTCTCAAACTCCTGACCTCAGGTGATCCTCCCGCCTTGGCCTCCCAAAGGGCTGGGATTACAGGCATGAGCCACCGTGCCCAGTCTAGTTATCTTATTTTCAACAAACCAATGCATTTAGATTCACTACAAGCATAATTTTAGGACCACATCACATTCATATATCTGCAGTCGCATCTACTGTCTCTTCTTTTCATCAGTCATGTGGAATGATGTGCCCATTATCCCACTGCAGGCTACTATTCCACTCTTCCCAGTGAGCCCAGTTTTCCTCACTTTTTCTAGAACTTTACTGTATCAGTCTTCATCTTTATTTTCTTTATCTTCAATCTTCTCTCTTCTTATAGGTTCCTGTCAGCCTTTACAATCTTATTCAGCTAGTAGAAATGTTTAGACAATTCTTATAAAAGCATAGGAACTAAATTAGTTAGGATGCTTTTGACTTCCCCAGCATTATACCCAAATAAAAAAGATTCAACTGATAAGGACTGTTTCTTTTTAATTTTACAGATTAAGAAGCATGAAGATACAGTTCTCACCCTAAAGATGGAGAAGAGATCTCTAAGGCATCTAATTTTTGACATAATTATAAAGCCTTCATAACAGTCCTGACCTAGACAATGTTTAGTGGTGGTGTGGGTGCATTGTTCCCATTTCTGTTTTTTTTTCTTTTTCTTTTTTTTTTTTTTTGAGACGGAGTCTCGCACTGTTGCCTGGGCTGGAGTGCAGTGGCGCGATTTTGGCTCACTGCAACCTCTGCCTCCCAGGGTCAAGCGATTCTCCTGTCTCAGCCTCATGAGTAGCTGGGATTACATATGCCTGCCACCACACCCAGCTAATTTTTTGTATTTCAATAGAGACAGGGTTTCACTACCTTTGCCAGGTTGGTCTCTAATGCCCAACCTCATGATCCACCTGCCTCGTCCCCCCAAAGTGCTGGAATTACAGGCGTGAGCCACTGTACCCTGCCCCCCATTTCTAACACCTACATGCAATTCCTGACTGGTACACAAATGCAAATGGAGAACTCCCTGAGTTAGTGGTTTCTGGTAGCATGTCATTTCCACTGAGCCAGTGGATGCTCTGAAATTAGCTGAGATAATCTCAGACCCAAAAGACCAATGTTGGGAACCTGTCTGTACGCTCAGAGACAAATGAACAAAATTAAGAGTATCTCAACAGATACAAACAGTAATAGAGAGTAATCATTTTGAGCAAATGTCATTGTCTACATCCCGATGCTTTCATCAATGAAAATAGTAGCTCAAAATGGACTCAAATTAAGTTTTCACATGCCATTGGAACAGTGGTTTGTACCAAAAATTAAGATCAATGTATAATAAGGCAGAAATATTCATAAGGGAAACTTTTGTGAATATTTCAGTTTTGTATTGAAATTCATACCCACTATTTCTTAAAATGGAAATCCCACTCTTCTCTTTAAACATTTAAATACTTTCTTGTTGCTTTGGAACATAGTTGAGATCCCGGATATGGGCAGTGCAGGTGGTATAACTAAGAGTTCAGCATTTATTCTCTGAGTTCAGACTGTGGCCCGTCATTAACATGTCTGTATCCTAACCTCTGTAAACCAGATGTTACTTACCTATTCTAAATTTGGTTTTCTTATAAAGTGGGAATGAAAAGGATCTCAGAGCATTATGAGGTTAAATGAGATAATCCAACTGAAGTGTGGCAGATAGATATCATTTGGGGGGTCCACCAAACACTTCAGCTCTCCCAAGAATATAATTGGATTGCCCTTCATCATCCTCTTATTAGGTGTGGCCATGTGCCTGACTTGGGCCAATAAGAGTGGAAGTCATATGTGTTAACTTCTTGTCAAAAGCTTTAAGAAGTAGAATGTAATTTGCCATGCCTTCTTTTCTCCTTCCACAATGACTGGCAATGTCCCAAATGGTGCCCACTCATCAAGGGTCTCAGAGGCAGGCCAGTATGGAACAGAACACTCAATTAATCAAAAACACACATTAAGCTTGAGTGAGAACTATACCAGTGTTGTTTTAAACCACAAAATTTTGGAGACTTTGTTACTATTGTACAACCTAGCCCATGTAACTAGTGCAAAATGGTTGAAAACATTAGCTAGTGTTGTCTTAGTACTCATCCTCATCTTTACTGGCCTCCTCCTCCTTCTCATTAAGCCCTTTTTCTGCCGTCCTTCTCTAACCTCATTCTACTTTTTAGTCTCTGTTGCCTCCTCTCCCTGCTTCAGCCATGGTATTCTTCATCCATTTTCTTAACCAGTGCTGCTTTTACATTTAAGGTTCTAATGTTGGATTTTAAACTTTTATTTTATTTTTAACTCCTTGGTTGGAAACCCCTTTTACCCTCTTTAGCTAACACCGACAGGAGGTTGCCTTTGTCTTAATGGTCTTTAAGCATTTCCTGACACTTGGGAACGAAGTCATTTATTTACAGTCAAGTTGATTTTTCTCAACAAACCTTTACTTGCAGGCATCTTTTTCTGTAAAGGGACATCTTCATCTACCACTACTAAAGTCAATAGTCTAGAGTTATCCATTTTTCTTTTCTTTCCCTTACCTCATATCAATCTAAAATCATGTCTTATAAAGTCTGTCTCCAAAATGTATCTTTAATTTGTCAACTTCTCCCATGTGTTTCCTTTCTAATGTAAATCAAGCAGCCATCATGTCTCCTCTAACCATGAAATAATCTCTTTATTGGGCTACACCTTTGCAATTCTTGTCTTTCTCAACCCTATTCTTCATATGCAGCCAGAGTAATAGTCCGAACAAATAAATAAGTGAATAAATGAATAAATAAGTGAATAAATAAGTGAATAAAGGTGATCACCGTGTTTCACCCCTTAGGTTCTCTAGTGTCTTTCCCATGCCCATGAACTAAAATCCAAAACCCTTACCACCAAGGAAGAGCTGGACTACGATCTAACTTCTGCCTGTTCTTCAGGGTCGCTAGTCTTTTTGTCTAGGCCCCCATTGGCCTTCTTTCCCATCTCTGAACTGCTAAGGTCCTTTCCTAACTAGAAAATTCTAGGTATGAAGTTCCTGCTAGCTGGAATGCTGTCCCCCGTCCTCTTCACATGGGTGAAGCATGAGTGGCCTTGATTATGTCCTTCTGAGAGAGGTCCTTCTTAACACTCTTAAAAAGTGGATGCCATATCATCCACTCTGTGTCATTGTGGCCTATCCATGTTATTCATGATGTTTATCAACACACACATGCACTCACAAACACACCCACGCTGGTTTTTTTTGTTGTTGTTGTTCATTTTGTGGTCTTAGAAACACTGTAAGCAGTGCAAGTTGGGACCATTTCTATTTTATTAACCGATATGTTACCAAGTTGTTGAATGAATAAAGGTTGGTCACAATTTCAAAGATCATCATATAATTTTTGTAAAGCAGGAATTGTTTGGAACAATAAGGGAGGAATTCTTAAATTCTGCTCCTCAATATTAACTTTGTTAGCCATAACACAACGTATCAGCTATTGTACAGGTATCATCATCACTTCCTGACTGAGAAGTCACTCGTGTAGTCCAGCTCCACAGGCTATAGAACTGAAAGCACAAATTGAACCATAAGGATCAAATTTTAATCTAAAAATTGATTTGTAGCATCTGAAACAGCAAAAATATGCAATACGATCTGAGAAATTCTCTAAAATTCAAAATTTGAAAACAGCATTTTTAAGTCAATATACACTGGGATAGATATGGACAGTGCAAGGATCCTATCGAATATATTACAATGATTGTGGAGAAAGAAAAAGTTATTGTTGAGTCCCCCTAATATCCTAAGGGATTAACCACCAGATTTTTAGAATTGGAAGGGACCTTAAAAATAATTTGAGATAAAGCATGAGAAACTCCACTGCAAACGTAAAATGCTAAAGAAGTTACTTTTTCTTTAACTGTGTGTAATTGCTTGTGTGCAACCCAGTTCAGTGAACCATCATTTCTCACCTGTGTTACTCCATCAGCTTCTCCGTCCTTCACTCTTACTACCCTGAAGCCATTTTCTGCACAGAAGCTAGAGTCACCTTTTAGAAGAAAATCTGAATAGATCCCCTCTTTCTTTAAAACTCTCCAATGACATTTCATTGCACCTAAAATCAAAGTTCCATGCCATTTCTAAGGCCCTATATGACCTGGCTTGTGCCAGCCAGCCATACATTGCCATCTCCCTCAACTCATCCTAATTGACTCTATTACATGGCACTCCAGCCTATTGCTCCCACTCCAGCGTGGCAACCTTCCTCCTACCTCAGTGACTCACACTTGCCGTTGCTTCTGCCTGGGTTGTCCTTGCCCAAGTCTTTGACTGGGTGACTCCTTCAATTGCTCAGTCCCATTTTGACATGTATGGAATCTCCAGAGGTCTATAATGTCTCCCCCAACTTCCATTCCTACCCAAATACTTGTTGTTAGCCTAGGTTTTCTTTTTTTAATCTCAAGCTGAAATTTTTATTCGTTAGCTCATCCATTGTCTGCCTTCCCCACAGTATTCTAGCCCCATGAATGTAAGGACTTTGTCTGTTTTGTTTTCTACTGTATCTGCAACTTCTAGACCTTGATCCCACATGCAGTAAACACTCAATAAATATTAATACTTATGGAAGGGAAGGTGGGAGAAAACACATGGACATGTTACATATGGGGACATATGTATGAAGAATTATTTCACCCATTCTGTCCACCCAATCACTCTGCACAGGAAACAGCTGGCCATCATGGGTTTTAAGAGAGAGGCCAGTAAGCTCACAAGGGGAGGCCAGAACCCTTTCTCACCACACTGGAAACACCGTGTTTGGTCAGTAGCACAGTATTATTTCTCTCTTGTCACATGGGCTCTGATACTTGACATCTGGCGCCCCGGTTCTCTGTCCTCTCCGTCCTCAGACTTCACATTGTCAAAGAGCATGAATATACATTTCAGTTTGGCTTCAAGGAGTAGTAATAATTAAATGTAATTTTGTTAAGGGCAAATAGAATTCTATGAACCAGATCAGTACCTCATATGATTTTAAGACATTTTTTGAAACCCCCAAGTCTATTCGTGGCTTCAGCTTACCAGAGGCCAAAAGTTTTCATGGATGGTTTGAGTCTGGGAACTATCTGCAAAGTCTTAAGTAATAGACAAAAGATGCATCAGCTTTCAGAGTTGGAAAACAACTGAGAAGAAAATTGCCGTTTGCCCCGGGTGTAAGCAAAATGAGAGGGAATTTGTTACAGCAACTTAGTGCTGTTGAGACCGTATTTCCAATCTCTGGAAAATGGAAGACCTTGTGGGGAGAATGCAAGAACATTGTCCTGCCTTTTGTCACCTTCTCCACAATAAACAGCTGCAATGCAGAGGAGCGGAAAAGAAGCCTCCGTTAATCAAACCAAAGAGGCTTGCCAAGGACTAAAAGGCACATCCCTTAGAAAATAAAAATAAAAAAAACATAAAACAATGTACTAATTAGGATTGCAAAGATAGGAAACAAAGTGATTATTTGTCAAGGAATATTGAAATGGGTTCCCTAAATTGAACTGTTAAAAATTATATATAACATATATTCTGAATATAAAAGTAAAATATGACCATTATAAAAATACAACATGTTGAAAACTGTATAAAATTCTCAACATTTACCATACAGAAATAATCATTGCTTATATTTTAATGTTTTCTTCCAATTGCTTCTTTTGAGAACATTTTCTAATGCATGAGATTTAATAATTTAATACTATTACATCCTACTGTTGTATCATAATTTAATTAGGCCTTCATCTGTGGCTGCATTTGTAAGTTTCTGTCATTTGCTTTTATTAGGTTTGCTTTGCCCATATATGTACATACATCTAAAGAACAGATGAGAAGGAATATGATATATATACTTACATTATAAAATTATAATTCAGTTTTATTCTACATCCTTAATTTGGTGTAATACTGGGAACAATATCTAAGAATATTTCAACTTTATATGGGGTTAATATGTTTTCATTATTATTTAAAATATGATTTATTTAAACACTTGATTATCTTATTTTTTCTATTATAAATAAGCTATAGTAAATATCTTTATATATAAATCATTATGTAACTTTTTATATACAACTTCTGTTATGAAATATTTCAAATAAAAGATAAAACTCATATATACACACTGCAATTTGTTCTCTCATGTCATGTGATCTCTGATACTTGATGACTGGCCCCATGACCCTCTCTCCTCTGTGTGTGTGTATCAGATCATTTTCCTGTTCCTGCCATGCACCCATATTTCCATTAATATGTAGTCTTCACTGAGCCATCCTGTTCATTGCTATATCCTCAGCTTCTAGAACAGTACTCAGCAATACTAGGTATGCAATTGTTTGTTAAAATAATAAATTAATTAATTGATATTTGAGTGTTTATTGTTTTCTTATTTTTAAGAGCTCTTTAGAATAGTAAACTTTTGTTATGTTGTAAATATTATTCTAATTTCATCATATTCTTTCTATTTTTACAGATATTAATTTTAAATTGCATTCCCATAAATCTAATTCATTTTTGGTTTTTCTATTAGCTTAATTCCTAGAAATTCCTTGCCCAATTTCTTGCACTTTTCTGGAGTTGTTGAGGAACCTCTACCTGGAGAATCTGTTAGTGTATCTCATCTAACATAGCTGACATCCCTGCAGCAGGTAACTCCTCCAGCATCCTATATTTCATTTAGGTCTTTCGTACTTTTATTTGTTCTTGTGTGATTTCATTTCACTCTTTAATCTAGTGTATTTTATGATAAAATATGGTATGAGGTAGGGACGTATATTTCCTTTTTTAAGATCGCCAATACTCTAATACCATTTTTGAATAAAGTGAATTTGATTTAGAATGCCCTTAATTTCTATTTTCTTAATTCATCAGTGTGTTTCTGGGCTGTTGCTTATGTTTCACTTGTCCTTATACTCGCAACACCACAATAAGTGTAATTGTTGTACCACAAGATTATCTTTGATTATATACTAAATTGTCCCTCATTCTCTCCATATAGTTTAACTTTTCAAAATGATTTTGAGTATTTTCATCTATATATTCTCCAAAACCCTCTCAGTGTGTCTTGTCTTCAAGTGTGTTTTATTTATGAATGAAATTGAAGATTCTTGGCAAGTTTATCATATGAAGATTTTCCATTAAGAGAAAATTGTATTATCATTTATTTAAATCTTCATTAATGTTCTCTTTGTTTGTTAGTTTCACTAGTTTTATTTCAAAGGGACGTATATTTATGTTAATATTGCAAATTGGATCTTATTCGGCCTATGCTTTCTAGTCATTTATCCTCTTTGGTTTATAGACTTATAACTGAAATCACTTATAATATCATTCTGTTGACTTGAATTTTCATTTGGATCATTGTGACTCCACCTTTGTCACATTTATATCTATTTTCTTTTTTTATTCCTTTCTTATTGCCAGATCTTGCTCATCTGTGTTAACTTAGTTAATAGTAATAATAGTAGAAAAGTGGGTTTGTTCTTTATTCTAATGGAAATGAATGCAATGTCTAACTGCTATGACTAATGTTGACCATTGACTTTATGTTGTTAAAGTAGATACCCACCCCCTTCAATTAACTAAATGGTTTTTTTCAGAAATAGAAATTGAATCATATATCTGATTTTTGCTATCTGTGGAGATAAATCATGTTACAAAATGCACTAATATCAAGATGTCTCCAAATAATTAAAATAAATCTTATGCTGTCACAGTGATTTCTTCTTTATTACATGACTGTAATCCATTTGCAAGTATTTTATTTAGGTTGCATGCATATATATTTATAAATAACATTGGATAATAGTAATTTTCCAAAAGAAGATTCTGTCAAACATTAATATAGTGAAATACCAAATGTTCTTAGGAAGACAAAAAGACTTTGTGATCCAAGTGTTTATGGGAATTGATCTGGAAGTCTAAAGGGGGAGACTGATTGACTTCCCTCATCCTCACTCCTCTTCTTTCACACTCGCTGGCCATGGTAGCTGCCCCCACAGTTAGACCCATGTGGTGAGGAATTAAGAATAAAATGGAGGCTGGGTGCAGTGGCTCACTCCTGTAATCCCAGCACTTTGGGAGGCGGAGGCAGGTGGATCACCTGAGGTCAGGAGTTCAAGATCAGCCTGATCAATAGGATGAAACCCGTCTCTACTAAAAATACAAAAATTAGCCAGGTGTGGTGGCATGTGCCTGTAGTCCCAGCAACTCAGGAGGCTGAGACAGGAGAATTGCTTGAACCCAGGATGTGGAGGTTGCAGTAAGCCGAGAATGCACTACTGCACTCCAGCCTGGCGACGGATCGAGACTTCATCTCAAAAAAATAACAATAATAATAATAAAATGGGCAGGCATAGATTCCATCCTTTTAATAAGGCAGTTGAACAAATACTTGAGCTTTTTCTTATGGAGCACTTTTCTGGAGTTGTTGAGGAATGTCTACCTGGAGAAAGCTATGAGTGCCTCTCATCTGACATAGCTGACACCCATGCAGAAGGTAGCTCCTTCAGCATCCTGGTAGTCACGTTGCTCCTCCGGGTAGTCTTTCTTGCCTTGGGCACTCATGGAGGTAGGGGGTTATACATCCTTACCCGAGACAAACACATAGGTCCCCACTCCTTATGTCTCAGTCTCTTCAATCTACCAAGTTTCAGTTTCAGGCAAGCTCAGTCGTAATGTTTGGTCTTTCATTTTTCCCAGGATCTCTTCAAGAGAACAGATACCATAGGACCTATCAAAGGTCTTCTGAATGCCGTAGCACTTGGCGTGATGAGAGAGAAAAACATTTTTCTTCATCTGAAAAACAAAACAACATTGGGCTGGGCAGGGTGGCTCATGCCTGTAACCCAACAGTTTGGGAAGCTGAGGCAAGCAGATCACTTGAGGTCAAGAGTCTGAGACCAGCCGGGCCAACATGGTGAAACCCCGTCTCTATTAAAAATACAAAAATTAACTGGGTGTGGTGGCATGCACCTGCAGCTTCAGCTACTCGGGAGGCTGAGACAGGAGAATCGCTGGAACCCGGGAGGCTGAGGTTGCAGTGAGCTGAGATTGCACCACTGCCCACTCCAGCCTAGGTGACACGAGACTCCATCTAAAAAAAAAAAAAAGGAAAGGAAGAAAGAAAAAGAAGAAATAGGACAACATAGAGTTTTGACAATTCTCTCAAAAATAACTAGCTCCCCTTTCGAAGCTGACATTTTTATAGTGTGTAAGTGCTAATGCTGGCAGAAACAGTTTTAACAACATTCAGCATGCCTCTCTGAGGAAACTTAAAGCTTGCTCTAGGAAGTGGAGGCACAAAATACCGACTCTATTTTTCCCAACCTTTGGGCCTAAGTCAAAATTTGGAGAGAAAGAGTATAATTTGTTAACTCCTATGTACGTATGTGTATATTTAAGTGTGTGTATATATATTAATTATATATTATATTGTGTTATAATTATATTTTATATATAATGTATATATAAAACATATATTATTAATCATATAATATATACTTAACATATTCATATACAGTCCCCGATATACAATGGTTCAGTTTAGGATTTCACGACTTTATAATGGTGCGAAAGCAGTATGCACTCAGAAGAAATCATACTTTTAGTACCCATATGGCCATTATGTTTTTCACTTTCCATGCAGTATGTAATAAATTACATGAGACATTCAACACTTTATTATAGAACAGGATTTGTGTTGCACGATTTTGCCCAACCATAGGCTAATGTAAGTGTTCTGAGCATATTTAAGGTAGGTGAGGCTAGATGGTATTCAGCTGCTGAGGGGAGAGTTGTCCTTTTTGATAGCACTATTGATGGTATCTTCTAGAAGCACCAAAGTCTATCTCCCCAGCCCTTTCCTGCCTAAATGTTGAATTCTGAGATTTCTTCATCCTTGCTTTCCTTACTCTATTCCCTCAGAACCATGGTGCCTTAGTGCCCAAAATAATTCAGCCCTGTATTCCCATATTTGAGTTTCTGTCTGATTGTTTAAAACTCTGAGAATGCCACTGAGTATCACTTTGGCTGGTTTTAAATATTTTTTGGCTTTCTTTTTATTTTCCAAATTTACTTTAACTGAAACTTTTATTTCCCTTTGACATTTGTTATTTAGTAGCGTTGAATTATTTTTGTTTGTTATAAGTTAACATTTTTAAGTTATCTTTTATTATTTTAAAATTTTGAGACAAATATATAACAACAATAGGGAGGAAGAGTAGAAAATTAGACAGCTTCCTGTTTCTTAACTTCCATTGTACTGGGGCATGGTATTATGTCGACAATTTTCCTTTTTACTAACTCTGTCAAATTTCTTTTCTGCTTTGTTTCTTCTTTTTTTAAAAAAAATTGTTAACTTTATTCCTTATATGTTCTCTTTTTTACTGTCACCCACTGACCTTAGCCTTTTGTCTCATTTTTGAGTACATACTTTCTTATATTTTAGTGAAAGAGGAGATAATTTCTAAGGTGCAACACTAGAGCAAATCTCATTTTGAAAGGAGTCATGACCTCTTTATATTGAAAGCGATATGTTTGGCCTTGTTTATGCCTACGAATGGCTTCACAGTGTTCCTGCTGAGATATTTTATGATCTCTCTGCCTTGTCTGTGCAGAGATTTCTCCAGGGCTTGTGTCTAAAAATGGTGGTTGTGGAAGAGGTCAAATGAATTTTCTTTATTTCTTCTATTGACCACATTCTTGCACACAAATTCCTTTATTCTGATCATAGGCTTGAGGGATGACTAGTATAAATTTATAATAGTTTTTCAGTGACTTGGCACCTTGAAGTGAATGAGCAGGGAAGTGGAGCCACCCACGGTATTGGTTCTTAGGGGGCTGAAGCAGGTAAGGATTGCCATTTTATTGTCATTCTTCCCAAGATGGAAGCAATAGTGACTGCCATGGATATGGCTCTTCTGGCTTTCTTTCTGACACTGCTGCCTGTCACATTTGGGACAAGAAATAGCAATGGTGTTAAATTTCTGATTGCTCTATTTTGTATATCAGAATTTCCAATAAGTCACATAATTGCGTGCATCCAGTTCCATCTATTATTTCTGTGGTCTGTCCTCATTCTAGCCAATCTATGGGATTGTTGAACTAGGATCAGAATCATCCTTGCTTAGTCCTGAGGATTCTAACCTGTCTTGAACATTTAACGGATCACTATCAGAAATGTACAAGAAAAAAATAATAACAATGAGAAAATATAAAGGAAGGCTACAGGGATTCTGGGTTGAAATGCAGTCCCTTACAATGTTTTTATCTGTATAAGCTTAGGCATGTTTTTTAAAGCCTCTGTACTTTAGTTTTCTTATCTTAAAATGGGGATAATGTGAATACATACTTTATAGAGTTATTATGATGACTAAGTTAATGTATGTAAAACATCTAATGCCATGCATATTCACAGTTCTTTCAAATGGTTTTCCTGCATAATAATGTCACTTCTTCCTTATTCCAAGATTGATGACATTTAAAAAACCTTCCCCTCTTCTTCTCCTCTCCTCTTCCTCCTCTTCCTTCTTCTTACAGTATGAATTAGGAGGTATAAATGTAGTCAGTGATGCAGTGGTTTCTCCGGGGATTTTAAAAAAGTACAGCTGTCTGTTTATCTTAACAAAATATTGTAATATTGGTGATCAAAATCCATGAAGATGCTTAAAAACAAAATTAATACTGTGGGAGAACCAAATATCTTTGTCTATCTATATATGAAAATATGTTTATGCCCAGAAAATATTAATGCATATGTGTGTACATATATTATTAAATACTGATGTAAGTCAAAGGTAGTAAACATTTAAAATCAGTTTAATAATATATTATAGGATCAATGTTTAGAGAACACTTTGAAATATGAATGTGCTTATGCATTTAATGTACGCATATAATGGCTTGTATAGCCATTAAGCATATGTATAAAGATACTTTACTAGTGAAGAAAATTACCAGACTGTACGTAAAGTTAATAAAGTGGGATAAAATATTTTAAATACTAGATGACTCCAATTTTGTAAGAGACACATAGTAAGTATACATTCCATAAAAAATATTGGAAGGGAGTGTGCTCAAATATTAATGGCGATTGTATTTTGGTCATTCTAAAACGTTTCTTCTCATATATCTTATGTGTAAACATGTAATATTTTTAATTAAAAATAAAATTAAGCTTTATTAAAGTAATGCATTTCTGACTATTCCAAATCAATTATGTTTTAACCACAATTTGTTATATTGTTAAGCAAATACAAAATAAACAAAAGGCTCGATGAATGTTAAAACTGTATATATTAGCCACTTCCAGAAAACAGTTGAGTAATATCTAAAATGAATTTCCAAAATGGTCATACTTTTTGACGCAGCTGTACCACTTCTTACAAAGTATGACCAGGAAATTACTTAAAGAAAATAATCTTAACCATTGAGGCTCACCTATTTTTTCTAAACATTATGTAATTTTTAGTTATAGACCTTTCCACTTCACAAAAAAGAAAATGCATTCACTAAC
Organism: Homo sapiens; assembly: GCF_000001405.40. Classification (NCBI taxonomy): domain Eukaryota; kingdom Metazoa; phylum Chordata; class Mammalia; order Primates; family Hominidae; genus Homo; species Homo sapiens. Next base: position 82,993,912 of record NC_000010.11, on the reverse strand, counting down.
CTATTCACAAGAATTACAATTTCAGGTCTTTACAGATCTTATGAAATGTGTTTATAGATCTGCAGTTTCTTTCCAGAAAAAAAGTAATGTGTGTTGTAGTATTAATTGTGGGGTTAGTTATGGTAGTAAATAAATTGGGTGAATTTGTGTCAAATAATAATAGAATGTCTACATAAGTCATAATATAAAAGCAAACCAGAATTTATGCAGTCTTTAAATAAAATGTTTATAAAGACAATGTATCGCCATAGGACAATATGATATATAATGTTTTAAATTATAATACAACACAGTGGGAAAGTAATTTTGTAAAAATATGCCTATATGTGGAAAATGAGAAAAAATATACAAAGATACAAGTTACTATGATTTTAGCATGGTGAATTAATGGTTGACTTTTTTCACACTTTCAGTGACAATTCTTAAATAAGATTTAAAAAGGGTGAAAAGAAAATCTTTAATTGACTTTATGTATTATGGAAATGTTTATACAGTCAGGTTCCTGTCTCTTCTTTTTGCCTGGAGAAAGGGCTCACAGTAGTGCTTATTCATTTCATCTTTCTTTTCAGCTGAAATCTGCTGGATAACCTTCTTTTTTTTTTTTTTTTTTTTTTTTTTTTTTTTGACAAAGGGATGCCCCATGTTTCTCAAACTTTGTTGCATGCTTTTCAGCTATTTAGGTCATTCGGACCCAAGAAAAATTGCAACTACTTGTGTCTGTGTTACACATTTTAATTTTCAAAATATATTTACATCTGCCCTTATATTTGATTCAGACCTGCTCCTATGTTTAGCTTAAAAGATGGGAGCCTTCAGTGAAAGTTGTCAGTGAGAAAATAAGGACAGGATAAAAGTTAATGATTTCTTTTTACAGATTTGTATTTTTTTTCCAACTTAAACTGAGATTTTCATAAATTTTGTGTTAAATTTGAAGGTATGAAAAAGTGGACATTTAGTATATTTAAATGTTAGAGCTCAACATGCATACTTAATGCCCAGTAGACAATTCTTTAAAAAATAAAATATCCATATAGAAAGAAGAGTGTAGTTACAGGGAAGAGATATTTTTAAAAAACAGATTTTATTGTGCAAAACATTTGCCTCATATTTCCTTACAATAGTTTTAGCCTTAGACTATATTTAATTTTTAATGTTTAATTTGAAGCCCTTACACACATGGTTATTGGTTTTTTATTCATTGTTTAAATAATGAGTATGTGGTTTTAATTTATTGGTTTTTTCTTTTACATAAATGGATGATTGTGTCTTTCTCTTATAAAATGAAAAATATTGTTGTAGGAAACAATTCTAAGAAGGTTAAAAAGTCTGTTTGCAACATAAGGAAAATTTACGGGCCCTAGGGTTATGTCTGTATATGAGAAGATAGTGGCTAAAGTCATGAACCTTATTATCATCTACATTTGAAATGTTCCTAATTTATCCCTCTACTAACACAACTCAAATGAACAAAGCTATCTTTCTCTACAAAATCACATTAGCTTCTTATTTTAGCTGAAAGTTCCCTGTTTAATAAAGAGGAAATGAGATAAGAGGTGAATGCAGTAAGAATACAACCTAAGCTGACCGTCCAGCTTTGGCAAAGGCTATTGAGGAGATAAAATTGGGAAATGGTGGCCAAGGATTCCCTCCACAGATAAAAGCTTACTTGACAAAGTCAACATGCAAATCGATGATTACATTCACATCTTAATTTTTAATAAGGAGTATGATATATCTCCCCACAAACAAAATGCAGCCATAGTAGAAGTAAACGCTACAAAGTTGTTGAGGGCCATAAGTCCAGCATATTTTCCATAGCCTTCATATCCTCTCAGTGCAGGAGACGCCATTTTGAAATGGTTGTTGGAAGAAAATAGAGCTACGTGTACACTCTTTTAAACAAATTTGTTATCACAGGCGTGAGATATTGTTTCCTAGAAATTGTTTTTAAAATGACAATTGGAAATATTCTGGTTACCATTTTTCATGTATTCTGTGTGTGATTTACATTCCTTATTTAAAACATGGCCAAATGGATTAATAAAATCTGTTAATGATGAAGAACTATGGAACTCATTTTGATTTAGTGTGTACAATTGCATGCTTAAAAAATAAGAGAGAGCCACAGCATCCCAGCTACTCGGGAGGTTGAGGCAGGAGAATGGCGTGAACCCAGGAGGCAGAGCTTGCAGTGAGCCGAGATGGCGCCGCTGCACTCCAGCCTGGGCGACAGAGCGAGACTCCGTCTCAAAAAAAAAACCAAAACAAAAAAACAAAAAGAGAGAGACAGCCACAGCATTTCTCTCTAGCTCTCTTAAAATATACACAGTGGCCACTGGCAAGTGTGTAGTAATGTTTAAGGTGAGTTGTCATGTTGTATTTGTATCAGTTTCAATAAATGTGTTATCTATCTTCCAGACTTTTATTAATAAAGACAAGAATCAAAAGCAGGCTGTGAAGAATAAGCCTTCAACAGTAACCACTATACTTTCTTGCTGCATGCGTAGACTTTCTATGAAAAATATCTGAATCCAAGGTCATCTATGTCATCGAGTTTCAACACACCATGTGTGCTGTATGCCCTGTGTGTGTGTGATTTGTAGAGCCCTTAAATTTAAATTTATTTCAGACAGGAAAGCACCAGTCTGGTGTATAACAAGGTTGTATGAAGGGTTCATCAGACCTCTAAATACATCAAAAACAAGTAAAAACTGCATTTTTTTTCTAAATCAATTTGGTAAAATACTACATTGACTTCTTATAATTTAAAAAAAATTAACTTCAATTTACTGTCTTTGGGTCAAGTATTTTAACATTTCATATTGTTTTATTGAAGGCTAAGGAATTCAGACTTTGGGATCTTGACCAAGACACATTATATATGGAATAATTAGTGCTAGTCAGGATGCTACTGAAAGAGCATATAAATATTAATTTGTCAAAAACAGCAATTACAATCAAAAGTAAATATGCAAGTAAACCCTGCATTGTTTTTGTCTATCCTGCTCCCAGAGATAGGATTATTTTAAACCATGATGTGAAAGTATTTCCAGATAATTTATTCAGTATTGGTAGGAGAGTTTATATTAAGTTTGACATGCAAATAATTGAGAATATCAATAAGTATCTTGTATTTATGAATATCCAATGAGGGTGTGTCCACTGCCTCTGTAAGAGAAGGACCTCTTCAAGGTCTCATGCCTTCTCTAGAGAACCCCTTGTTCTGTCTTTGATAATTCATCACATTTTCTTAAAAAATTCTGGGGCAAATTTTGGCCTTTCTTTTCAAGCTTTGGAATTGGGTATTTTCTTGTCCATCCCTTTTTTTTATTACCTGTCTGAGGTAAATTTACATTAACAACAACCACAAAAACAATCCTGTATTTTTCTCTATGGAAATTAAATGTGATATTATAAATGTAAATATTATCCACTGATAGATACACAGGTTCTAACTATTTTTGAGCCTTAGTGAGATAGACGTACAGCCATCAATTTTGTAAAGACTTGTGTTCAAGTGAAAGAATGACAGGTGACCAGATAAAGACTGGGTTAGAAGGACTGGAAAACAAGCCAGCAATTTGGAAGAGAAATCAGAGATAAATGGTTATCCACCTTATTTGACGGTGAGGTCATGAAACTAGTGTTATGTGTAGATAAGGTATAAGTTTTCACAAAGACAACTTTCAATAGAAAATATTTTCTAATTCATTTCCAACAATGAGAGATTGTTTGCTATCACACAATTAATTCTTTCATAGTCAACAGTACACGTGCAATCAATATAGGTATTCATGACAAAAAATTATGAAAGTACTAGAAAGCTGTTCTCTATTTTATTAAGATTACATCTGGTTACACCTGCTATTATCTTCACCGGAGTATGCAACATTAGCCCTCAGTATCCCCTTTCCCCGCAACACACACACACTGTCCTTATTGAAGTTTAATGGGTACCAGAAGCAAAGGCACCTGTTTAGGCACCTCTGGGAGAAGCTATGTTTAAATTTATAAAAAAATATACTTGAGAACATTATACACTACAAAGACAACAATCATTTACACTCATTTTAGATGTTCATTTCTAAGAGATAATCTAGCAGAGATGTTATTCTAGGATCTTGTGAATTTTCTAACCCAAGATTATTTCTGCTTGTATAAAAAAGAGAAGGAACTGAAAAATGCCTATATGATCAAAATGTTGCCAAGTTGGCTTGTCTCTAAGTGCTTTGATTTCATTGGCATTCCATGAGGCAATCACTTTGATGTTTGTCAAATTAAACAGAAGTAAAAGTACTAAGATATTCAACTCATGAATTTAATATAAATTTATATGTGTGTGTGTGTGTGTGTGTGCGCGCGTGTATGTGTGGTTACAGTAGGAAACAGATTATAAGAGAATATTGTGGCTCTAAAGGAGTGAATTTCATCTTTTACCCTCACTATTTCTTTAAAAGGGAAAGAAATATTAAACTAGGAAGAGATAAAGCTTATTTAAAGGCTTCATTTCCCGGGGCATATTGGGATGCATTTAAAACTGAGAACAGCCTTGAAACCTTGTGCTGGTTTTGCCTAGATGAGGACTGAATTTCTGAAGACAAGAGTACAAACACAGTATAGACATGCTATCCATTGAAAACATCGAATCTATACATTTGAATAATAATACTTTTTTATTCTTTATATATAAAATGTCTCCCAGATACCAAAAGATCAAATAAAAATCCCACCCCTCCTACTGCGTTCCTAGGTTGGCTGTATACTTATTTGAGGAATGTTTCACAGCCCTTGTTTCAGTGCAGTATTTTCTGGTTTATGGGGCTGGAATCAAAGGGACCGCTATTCCCTCTGCCCCAACACACAGACTTACGAAGTCAGTGCTCCCTATAGCACCATACTGCAGGATTGGTGTGCATGACTGTGGCATCCATCAGACATATTCTGGTAGAGATCTGGTTACCGATAGCCTTAGCCATGGGCACCCGAGGCCTCACTCAAATTGTAGCTGTCATTCAATCCAGAAGCCAATGGGCACTCTCTTGAAGTCTGCTTGGCTCTTCTGTTCTCTTTTTTAGTAGGTCTGATTTATTAATATGATCAATACAGGTTAACTTGTGAAGTCCTATATACAACACTCTTCCTCCTCTAGACAACTTTGCTATTGCTACTTAGAAATGATGTAAATCATTGGAGGTGTGATAAATTTACAAATATTTAGTTTTTAACCCATAGCAAGGGAGATATTGGGCTAGAGTGTAAAACACAGAGCATTTAATATACATAGGAAATTTAGGAGTAAAATTTTGATGCTAATTTTCCAAAATCATTTCTACTATTTCTCGTCATTATAAGATTGCTCACATATTTTGAATGGCATCCCACAGTAGTCACAGGCAAATTAGAATAACATATGCTTTACAAAACAAAAAGGCATATCAGAAAATGAGTCAAAGTAAAAAAAATGGCAGGTACCATCCATTCTCCAGTAAATAATGAATATGGAGTGTATTTAATTACAAATTTCCAAATATATATTCGCATAATAAAGACAAGGAAAATGAAACAAAATCAAATGTGTTTTGTTGAAATAAGCGCATGAGCTTGAAGGATCAAGTACTGATGGCTCCAGGTGTTTTCTATGTTAGATTCCCTTTGAAAGTACTGATGCCATCAGCACTTGTCAGCTGGTACCCAATGATGTAAATTTTGAGCTTGAATACTTTTCATAGGAAAGCATCACATTCCTAAAGGAGACAAATGACCACTAAAAACTAACCATTAATATAGATTACTTATGGAGGGTTTTATCTTGACTACTAATTAAGGGAGTAATTGTATCTCTAAACTTTATATCAGATTGCCAGTGGATTTGCCAGATTATTAATGCTTTTTTAGAATACATGGGGGGTGGGGTTATAATCACATAACACAGTTTTTCATATTTTTTAAAAGGGGTTGGACCAAGACATAAGTTTCATTGACAATCTTAATGTTTTCACTGTAGACAATATGTTAGAATAACTGCAGTGAGTCACACAGCATATAACTTCTTAATGGTAAATTCAGAACCAGTCTTCCAGATAAGCAAGTATAACATTTTAGTTAAAAAAAAAAAAAAAAAAAAAAAAACAAGAACAAGGTTGACTTCAACAAAGTTGTGAGGCCTTCCAGGTGTTTGATATAATTGTGATAAATTTCAACACAATGACATATTGGATGCTCAACTTGTCGGGTTTTTATAGATCTGTTAGTTTTTAAGACCATTTTCTAAAATGTTCCCACAGATATAATATTTTTAAATGAGAACTTAGATGATCTAGACATTACAAATTTATAATAATCTTTTGAAATTCTACCAATATTACCTCCATATTCAAAACGATGGAACTGTAACAGAACAAATAATAAATATCATCACACAACCTTTTGTTAAATGTAAAATGCATTTTTACCAAAGTGTTTCAACATCTGAGACTTTGAATTTCTATTAAGTAGTTCTGATAAATACATAGTGCTCTTTCTTTTTTCTGGATGACAATATGTCTACTAATAACTCATGTTCCCAAGGAGCAATTTGCAATGTATTTTCAACAGAAACAACTTAACCTGAAATAAGAATTGTATATATTTACTGCTTGACTCAGAAATAGTTACATTCCTTCTCCATGGAATGTGTCTTCCACAAAGAGATTTTAACCAAGGTTTTCCAAAACTGCAGTAAAAGAAATCTTTTATGCTTTCAAATACGGTGCCTTTTTATTTAAAACAGTGTAAACATAACAACTCAACACCACCAATAATTGGAAAAAGACTGGATATGTGAACACTAATTTCCTCATATGTCCCATGAAAGTGAGGGTAAATAAACAGACAAATCTTCAGGAGAGGTTTCAGTTCACCTTAGCAGTGGTAAAAATATTGCTTTATTCCAAATGAACATACAACACAATTTACTGTTCTTTTGGGGGGCTTCTTGTGAACTGAATAGTCTGGGTATTTTTATTTCAACAATTTATTCTTCCCATACTAACCACAGAAGCCGAAGCCTTGGTCCACACATAGCAGACTTGCTATAAAATAAATGGTAATGAGGATGATGAGAAAGCAAATGGTAACTGTCAATTTGTTAATTGTCTTGTATTAATAATTTAAGTAGGCATGATTCAAAATAAACACACATCCTTGATGAACTCACCTTATGATACTGATATCATTAATGAGCCAATAGTTGATCCTCTCAAAAGTATTCACATCAGAAAATGGTCTAGACAGTGTCAAGAGTTTTATACGACCCCACCATGCAAGTGACCTTGATTTAAGAACTAACTGAACTTTATACTTAATGGAAAAATTTAAAGTGAAAAGATCTAAGAGGGAAATAATTTTTCTGAATAGTAGATTCCCTGATGTTTCAGAACAAATTTTAGCAAGCGTAATACGCGCACACATGCACACACATACGCACAATGAACACATGTGCTTACAGCATATGTGCCCGCGTGAGCAAGTCCACACACACACACGCTCGCACACACATGTGCACACAGGCACACAAAAACTGAGAAACGCTCCTCCAGAGCCTCTAAACAATCTCAAGGAAAAACATTTCTATTAGCATGATTTTAGTGACACGATATAAGGATTTTTTTGTCTCTTTTTCTGTAATAATTTCATACCTCCAGCTGAGATCTGTGCATTCAAATCTCAGAGGAAGGTGGCACACAAGAGTAGTTAAGATTGCCCCCGGTTTCTCCTTCTATCTCCTGTCCTCCTTCCCATTGCAGAGTCTTTTGTGGCATTCTCCAAAAATCAAATAGAAAACACTACATGTGTCGACATGACATAACCTGTGATGAGGCTATTGGGTGAATAGAAATTTAGGGCTTGGGACTGGCAAGCCAAATGGCAAGAGCCACCTGCTCACTGGTGCATCCACCTGCGGGATGCAGCTCTCCTCTTTTTGAAACCAGGTAACTGCCAGTGTTTTTTAATGAGACACTGGCACTGTGGGGCCAAGGGTCTGAATTGCCCACATCTTCTAAGAGCCAAAGAGGACAGTGTTGGGACTAAACGAAATTGGATTCAGAATTCTACCCAAAAGCTTTAATGGTAAGCTTTATCCCTCCTGAAACATTTCTTTCCCTTAAAAAAATATTTTGTTAAAAAACACTATGATATGAGGGCGATAGACTATTTGGTTTCTTCTAAGTAGATGCTCTTAAATTAATGCATATAAATAATTTGTATTTGATTTCCTCTCTTTCCTGTTGAGCAAAGCATAGAATGCACAGATTCCTACATCTCAAGTCACTTGGTCAATGCAGAGTCTCTTTGTATTTCATTTCTTAAGACAAATTGCGCCTCTCGTTCTGATTTGGCTGTGGGACTCAGGGGGAGAAAGGCTGTGTTTTCGCTTGCACTGTCCTCGGTTTCTACGCTGGCCAGTTCGTAGTCTTCTGACCGTCTGGCATCAGTCAGAATTCGGATCTGCTCCTGGACAGTTTCTAGCAATATTTTCACTTCTTGTTGTTCTGCTATAAGACAATCGCTGACTGGAATACTCACATTGACAACGTCAGCTGAATAGGAGTTTTTGCACCATTTGATGCTTTTGACTTCAGAAATCCCTGGCATTTGCAGGCAGGTTTCCTCTAAACCCACTGAAGGGATGATGGGCACAGAACTGGCCCTTGTGGATGAATAGCCCACCAGGTCCTTTTGCTCCAAGCTATTAAAATAGGGGTTTGTCTCTCTTGAAGGCAGTTGCATATTTATTGATGTATTTCGTTGGGTTTTTAAACCACTGGATGAATACCTGAAAAAGAAACACAGTGTTACTCCTTCTGCTTTCTACCAGGCTTTGTTAGAGCAATACTCAATCCACAAAGCACTTTTCACATGCACCATCTCACTGAATTCTCACAGCAACCCCATGAGACGGATAATAGGTTCCCAGTTAAACAGAGAAGTAAACTGAAGCTCAGATAGGTGAAGTGACTTGCCCAAGGTCACACAGAAAATAAGTGACAGACTGAGACTCAAACCCAGATCTTCTTACTTTAAGTCCAGGGGTCTTTCAACACACCACAGCTGTATAGGCAGGTGGGATATAGTCTTCCTGACCTCTATCCTAGAATACAAAGTAAATGGGGATTGAGCAGGTAAGTGTGGCCTTTCCATTGTGACAAACAGGACACCCATAATGGCATTAGTCCACTCCATCAACTCGACCACCCTCTCAGCCCTGGGTTAGTCCAGTAGACTTGTTGTGGCCACCCTAGTCGAAGCCAATCAAGAAGCCCAATATTAAGCATCCAGGTACTACAATCAAGAGTTTTTCTGCTTCACACTGATTTTAGGGGATCCAAATCCAATTTCCACTGGCACTGTGCTCTAAAGGAACCACCTCACTGCCAGATTGCTGAGCCAGCCGGTGGGAATGGGAGGCTAACAATTCCTCTACCTGCCTGGGGATGAATATGAAGTGGGTTCCACAGGGCTTCTACCCATCTAGCATCTTTCCTTACAACCAAGTAACCAAGAAACCAAGTAAGGTAGTTCTTTGGTCCATGGCAAGGGCTTGTCAAGAATGCCAATATGCCATCACAAGTCATTTGAATATAGCAGAATCTTCTAAGTTCCCTTCTTGCCTGTGCAGGGCTAGTAAATCTGTCTCCTCTGTGCTGTTCCATGACAGAAAATGGGACAGGTACGCAGCAGATTTATAGAAATGGGGTTTTGGAACTTGAACAGTAGTGTTTTATTCTATTTCTTAGTTATTTGTCCCTAATTTAAACAGTAAACATTCAAATTTTGACACAATTTAAACATATCAACCTTCCATACAATAAATCTCCTTTCCTCGACTGCCATTATTATGTAAATGAAAATCATGTTTATACATGTAGATAATAATTGCAATGCAGTGTGTTGCACACTAAATACAAATCTTTATTGTAAGGACATGATGGGAGCAAATTAGAGGTCTTTCCACCAGACAGTGAACACAAACAGGGAAGAGATTTAGGCCTTTGTAGGCTCATCCTCTCTTACTGTGCCTAATACAGAGTTTGTAATCAATACACTTGAACTGAGTGAACACATGAATACATAAACAAATCTTCAAGGTAAACTCTCCCTTTATATCCTACTTAATGTCTATTTTCAGACTTAATAACAACAGCTAACATCTGTACAGTGCTTGTAAAAATCACTTTCAACTCCAATTAACTCATTTTATTTTTAAAAAACCTTGTAGTTTATTTATTATTATCATTTAATGGGTGCGTAAAATAGACTAAGAGGTACTCAAATGACTTTCCCAAAATTATATCTTTAGTATGTGTCACACAGAGAATTTAAACCCAAGTTGTCTTATTCTAATTACTATCAATGTTAGAGGTTGCTAATGAACGACTATCCTAAGGGGAACCAGAAAAGCTTTTTGGGGTTATGTAATCTTTATTCATACAAACTGCACAGCTACATATTTGGAAATTCTTGGGGAATATTACTCCATTCTCATTAGTGTTATATGAGAAATATGAGCCTAAAATATATGAGCTAAAAATATGAGCCTAAAAGTTCTAATCAATAAATCAATTTCAACAAGAAGTAAAGAAAAAATTTCAGGCTTTTGTTTCGCTCTCAGCACCATCTTGTTAGCATGATTTGTATGTATGAAAATATAGAAAGTCTGCCTGTCAGGTTCACCAGTGAAACAGAGACAAAAAATGTAGCCAGGATAGCATTTCCCACAAATATCATCAGGGTATACCAGCAGGTAGAATCTGGTAAGTTGATATGTGATGGTGACAGGTAAAAATTCTTACACTTGGGTCTAAACAGTTGGAAAAAGGTGCAAATATCTTAGAGAATATAAATTCAACAAGTCAACTATGTGGCATGACTAAGACATAATCAAAGGCAATTCACGCCAAACTTTGAGGGTTCTTCTCATATGCCAGAGGACTGACTAAAGGATTTAGATGAGAAAGAGGAATTGCAGTGGACTATTAGATGTCAATTCCCAAGTCAGGCTTTGAACACATGACTGGTAACAACTGAAATTTAAAATGTTACCATGACATGAAGATGAGCTGTAAACAATGAGAACTTTCCTAACTGTGATTTTGTTTTGAATTAGACATGATTTCAAGTTCCAAAATTACTATATGCTCTGGAATCTCAGACAAATGGCAGCCTCACTTTAATTTTGCCATCAATTAAAACAATCAGGTAGTAACACTAACTTGATTGCTCAGAGGGAGGGGAAATTTTTCTGAGGACTAATTGAAATAATGTCTCTGCCCTGTTCTACCAGAGACACAGTGGCAAGCCTCACTTCCCCCCAGACATGATGTGAGTGTCTCACCACTGGTATTCCAGCAGAAGTTTAAGTGAGAGCTAAATTTCTAGATGTGATTCTGAGTCAGAGGATTCAAAGTTCTGTATCTCTTGAGGGCCAATGATGCTTCCACAAGTTCGGTCCATGAGCTTATCATTTCACTTTGGGCCAGTCTTCCTCTCATCCTCAACAAAGAAATTACAAATGCATCTTGTCTGTAACTATGTGAGTCGAAGCATTCTTTTAAAGAAGAAAGATTCCAACTATTAGTCACTTGGTTTGGTTCCCAGTCATTCATGAGTCAGGCTAAGGAATTTGTGTTTCTCTAGGCGACTCCAAACCATCTCAGTTCCTAGGGCACATGAAAATGAATGAACAGACTATTTTGAAGGCATCCACGCTTCCCTCTGAAGCCATAAAATTAGATATTCCGTTTACAAATCATCAGCCATAAATGTGATTTTTCTTCACATTCCTTGTTGATTTAGTGGTTTATTTAGTCAGAAAAGCCAGTATTCAATCGCAGCTCTTTTACACAGGACTGTGTATGTCACTTTGGGCTAGCCATTTAAACTCTGATATCCTTAATGTGCTTATCAATAAAATTTCTAAAGAATAACTGAAGAGAAGTATATAAAGTTGCTAGCTAGGTGTGGTAGGTATTCAGTACATTTTGAATTTTATCTGCTTTTAAGGTGTGAATCTAACTTTTGTGATTCCATCTCTTTTTGTCTGGCATATGAATACATTAGCTTGATTTTCCTGACATGATACAGTTCAAATTCTGTGAGCCATTACCATGGCTGTCATTGACCAGGGATCCAGTCATGACAAAGTTTCCTCAAGAATCTCCTCTCCACCTCACTCCTTCCCCAGGCTACAATAAGATCGATGTTAGGTTCAAGCTGGGCTGAAGTTCTTGCCAAGGAAAGAAGCCACATACGTTGGAAGCCTAACTGTCATAGACAGCGCCCACTTGCTTGGTAAACAAGGAGCAGATGGCTGATGGCTCTTGCAAATTCATTTCCCCCTCCTCCAGGCTGGGGCCAGATTTAAAGACGGCCTTTAGCTGTGAAATTCTATTACGAATCCCATTTCCAGTCCAGAGAGACAGTCAGTCCCCAGGGAGTGGAAAATGGCTGTTTTTAAGAACTGAGAATGAGATTGCTCCCTGAGATTCATTGTGCTGGGTATACAGTGACTTATATTTAGAGTCACCATTTATCAACATCTGGTGGATATCACACATGGGAAAATACCTGTGGCCAGGCAACTGGAGAGAATATTCCAACCCAACAGTGACTGAACCAAAACAAAACCACCACCACGCAGAAAATAAGTGAGTCTCCCAGGAGGTTAAAAAAGCAAAGCATTGCCTGAACATGTAATGAGATCTCTGAGCCCCTGATGATATGTGCATTGTTCAAGCTTGAGCCTGGCACAGGCTCCAAGCACCCTTACTAATCGAACATATGGAAAGATGGTCATAACAGTGCCCAATAGAAAAAAAAGGCCAGCATGAGCTGGGTTTTTTGTCCACTCACAAAATCTCTGAAGTTGATTTTCCCTCACTTGTTCTTGTAACATTCATCCCAGGGAGTTTATGTATATGTATATAGTCATATTCACTAATAAGAGGCATCATTAGTTATTTATATGGAAAAGGCACTATGAAACATGATCAATTATAATTATGGGTTAAATGCAAGCCTGCTTTTCCACAGATAAGACCAAGAGAAATGCAAACTGCTTCTTGACTCGCATTATACATTTTGAACCCCTTGGCTGTTATGTTTACTTTGCAACTGTCACCCTAAATCTGTACCAAATGCCTTTTACAGTCCATTTGGAATTGCTTCAAAATTATAAAACCTAGCCACCGGCCATTTATTTCCTATCTTCCAGTTTTCCTTAAGAAATCTGTTGCTGATCTTTGTTAGACAGGACACTGCTCCATATATCCCATGCCCATATGAAAAGAGAAACGTGAGGCTCTGTGCTAGACGTAACCCGTTTTGATCTTTAGCCTGATAGAGACAGTCTGGAAAAATCATCCAGGCCAAAGCAGCATAGAAACCTGGCTTGGCTCGTTCAGAGAGATAAAAACAGAGCCACAAGAACCTGGCTTGAGTGAGGGAAGTGATTTCTGAAATTTCTAGAGTAAACCCTGATTGCATTGCACTTGAAATTGCTGAAAAAATTATAACAATTACTGTGACAATAAATACCAGTACCACTTCTCTGCTTACTGTGTGTCTACTACAAACTCTTTACACACATAATTTTTAAAAATCTGCCCAACAATCTTCAGGGGGTTGATATTATTTTACTCAATTATTTGTATTTTTTTTTTTCTTTTTTGAGATAGGGTCTCACTCTGTCACCCAGGTTGGAGTCCAGTAGCACCATGTGCACTCAGTATAGCCTCCACCTCTGAGGCTCAAAGGATCCTGCCACCTCAGCCTCCCAAGCAGCTGGGACCACAGGCACACACTACCATGCCCAGCTAATTTTTTGTATTTTTGTTAGAGATGGGGTTTTGCCATGTTGCCCAGGCTGGTCTCAAACTCCTGAGCTCAAGTGATCTGCATGCCTCAGCCTCCCAAAGTGCTGGGACTATGGGTGTGAGGCAGTGCGTCTGGTCTATTTTTCTCAATTTATAGATAAGAGCATCTAAGACCACATCATAAAATATTATCACAGTCACACTAGTAGTAAGGAGCAGAGATGGGATTTGAATTCCAGTCAGTTTAAGCAAGGATCGCATGTTTAGTTGGGCAGTTTATGCCAACTACATGGATAATGGTTAACATTCATCCTGTACTCAGCTCACCATGCTTTGAGGCCTCTATGGATCTGTGTCCACCAGAGGAAGGGACACCTTTTGCACTGTAAAGAGTAGCAGCAATGGTGTCCAAAGCCCACCCGTCTACCCCTAACTTGCATATATGAGTTCAGTAAGTTGTACTTTGACTTTACACTCTCAACATTGACCCAAATTCTACATTCAAGCTCAGGGGAAGCAGATACTGTACGTATGCCATGAGTTATTGTTTAGCGTATTGTTCACAATACTTATCAGAGAATTCGGTCCTTTTTCTAATCTGCAGATGAAGGAACACTTTAATCCTCCTTTGATTTTTTAAATCAAAGACAAATTTCCAGTTGTATTAGCAAATGATCTAATAACATATTGCCTAGAGAGCTACACTTACTTTCTTCCTAGTTATATTTCTTTCTAATCTAATGTTTCCCTGATACCTATTTTCCATCACAACTATACATCAAAGTTGGTTCACCTTTTGTAGAACAAAGATGGCAGTAAGCATATATAGCCAGTTAATGAATAAATCAATGAATAAAACCCCAAGGAACTTAAAACTTAACTTAAAGCTATGGCATTAAAGACACCCTCCCTAAATTCCACTGCTGTTTTAAGACCTACCCTTGGCAAGGTATCGTATCCTGGTCTGGGATCCTTGATTCTTCGAGTTGCTGATATGCTGGTCCCACAATTCCACCTAGCCTACTTCGGGGTGACGGGGGTGTCCTTCTGAAGGCATTCCTATGGAGCATGCCACTTCTTTGCCCTGGGCTGCAGCAAGAGGATAGACTCCTGCTGGGGTGGAATGAAAACAGACAAACAAACAAACAAAAGACATCATAGCAATAACCTCACAGGTGGCTGCTCAAGCTTTGCAAACACTGAATCTGCACCCCAAATTCTCAAAGTTCTAGGCCAGGGCCATCCCTGAATGAAGTATATGTGGTAGAATGAGATCAGGAATAGCCCAATCCATTTTACCTTTGGAGACACTGAGAAAAAGGGAAGTTCCTGGATTTCTGGCTTTCTAGGTTAGAGCATGACTGATGAAAATCATTGCAACTTTCCAGCCAAGGTAAGAGGTGAACTTAAGGAATTCTCAAGCTCCTCATTCCCATCCATCCTGATTATCCAAGCCATCATAGCTGTCTCTCTAATAGAAATAAAAATAGCCTTCTTATGAGACGCTGACAAAAACTGAACACAGTAAGCCCAGAAGGGATATGGGGAAAAAATTCACTTATTAGCGATAAAATTAACAACTTTTAATTGGCATTTTCTCATTAACATATGTGTTAAATTCCCTGTTCACGACCTCAGATTTTAATCAATCTTGACAAACTAAATTATTTTTCTTCTGAGTTTGCTTTTAATAAACATCTGATTATATATTTTATTTGACTCATACATCCAAATGCCTAAATAACTATATGTTTATAGATGCCATCAATGAGCAAAACATGTAAGTGGGTTATACCACAGGCCTTAACAAACTGAGAATTCCTACATAGATTATGCACAGAAAAGAACTAGACTCTATAAAAATCCATTGCTGATGAGACTCATTACCTGTTCCATATCCATTCCCATCTCCACCCCACTGAATTGACCCTACTGTAGACTGGTGAGGAGAACTTTGCTCATGTGTAGACATTCCACGAGATGCTAGTTTATGTGGTCACACTGGTTCTGCAGTGCTCAAATAATAAAGGAACTGAGAATTCTGTGCTCCATTCTCATTTAACTCTGTAAATATCAATACAACCATAGAAAGAAAGATGAAAACATTCTCAAAATTTCAATAAATTTATCAAGGTTCTAAAGAAACCAGTCTCTCAAAGACATTTTACCCATATTACTATATTATTTGGGGTTATGTCACTTTTCTTCCATAAATATTACTGTTAATTCTACTTAGTCAATACAAAACAGGACTTTACAAATATTATTTAAGGTTAGAGTTTGAAAATCTGGTATTTGAGTGTTAGTAACCACTTTCTTGGTTGTGGCACGGTGACTGATCAAACTTTATATTCCTCAAGCCAACATTAACTTCCTAAATGTGTGCAAGCAGGAGATCATATCTGGCAACATTCATTGTTATACCTTCATTCCTTTCATTCCTTTTTTTTTTTTTTTTTTTGAGACAGAGTCACCCAGGCTGAAGTGCAGTGGCACGATCTTGGCTCACTGCAACCTCTACCTCCCAGGTTCAAGTGATTCGCCTGCCCCAGCCTCCCAAGTAGCTGGGACTACAGGTGCCCCCCACAATGGCAGGCTAATTTTTGTATTTTTAGTAGAGATGAGGTTTCACCATGTTGGCCAGGCTGGTCTCAAACTCCTGACCTCAGGTGATCCACCCACCTAGGCCTCCCAAAGTGCTGGGATTACAGGTTTGAGCCACTGTGCCTAGCCCCTATACCTTCATTCATTATATGGTGTGTCCCCAAATGCCTAACAAGGGATGTCTAGATAGCTCACTAAGCCCACAAGTTGGAGAAGCTCTCTAACAGCTAATTTGCTTCCTTGCCTTCCTACTTTTATCTACCATCCAATGGCAATGATGGGGTCTGCGGGGCCTGAAGCCTTGGATGCTAGAGTTGGCTGCAACTGAGTATAAGTCTCAGGTCTGCAGGTAACTAGTTACTGGAAGCATGATGCTGATGGAGGTACTTGTACCAGTCAGAGTCCTGGAGAGACATAGATGGCACTTTAACCTGGTTCATTGTTAGAGATTTTGCTATATACAAAAGTGTGATAAGTGTTCGAGGGCAAAAAAAGCAATAAATGAGACTGCTGTGCCCCAGGACTACTATGGGAAGCTGTTATTATCCCTCTGACTTAAGGGACAAGGAGAGGGAGCAGTTCCCAGAATGCAGAGAGAAAGTGAGTTGTAAGGAGGGGGCCGCACTGCAGGCTCCATGGCCCCAGAAAAGGGATATAAGGAAGGCAACCAAGCAGGGAGGAAGGGGACACAAGTGCCATGACCTCACTGTCCTCCCTGCCGTCTATCTCATGCCTGTGCCTTACACTGAACCCACAGAAACCAGAGGACATAAGAGCCTGCAGCCCTCTTGGTGTACAGGGCAAGGCAGAAAACAAAAAAGGTAGAAACTAGCTGCTAGAGTGAGAAGGGAGTGACAAAAGGAAGATATCAGCATTCTACTTAAGAATTTTCCTAGGTTCACTATGGGATGTGGAGGTTTAAAGAGAGGAAGTATGCAAAGCATGGGGCATGGAGCCTGGCACACAATAGGTGCTCAGCACGATGAGTTCCTCTATCTCCCCTGCCACAGCTGGCAATTCAAAGGGTCCTCTCTGTCACTGAAAACCCTGGAATTATTTCAATGCAAAAAACCTACATACATGCTTTTTATAAGTGGCATGGTGGGGCACAGTGGCTCACACCTGTAATCCCAGCACTTTCGGAGGCTGAGGCGGGCGGATCACCTGAGGTCAGGACTTCAAGACCAGCCTGGCCAACATGGTGAAACCCCGTCTCTACTAAAAATATAAAAATTAGCCCGGCATGGTAGCATGTGCCTGTAGTCCCAGCTACTCAGACGGCTGAGGCAAGAGAATCCCTTGAACTCAGGAGCTGGAGGTTGCAGTGAGCCAAGATCACACCACTGCACTCCAGCCTGGGTGACAGAGCGAGACTCTATCTCCAAAAAAATAAAATAATAAAAAAAGATAAGTGACTTATATTGCCAAAATATAATGCAATAAATATGACATGCCGTAATAGATTTATTTTCTAAACAGATGGGATTTTTTCGAACTAAACATTAGAAATAATGGCTTTGAATTAATAGCTCTGTTTCATATATGAGTTATCCAAATGAGTCATATTTGCAGTGCACAAAAGAAATTAATTATTCATAGTTCGCTAAACTGTCATAACAACAAAGTATATCAGTATGAACTAGTGACCTGTCTTAAAAAGAGTTTTATGCCTATTGATCAATCAGCTATTCAGGCCTTCTAACTCAGTGGCATTCAGGAAGTTATGGTGCAGTTTGCAGGATATATAAATCAGTGCCTGGGTTATCGATCATGAAAACGTTCAAGTCTATTGCATGTTTTACAAAACAAAAGCTATGATATATTAAACTATAATTTACAAAGTTCTAAAAGCATTTTGTAAGTCAACGCTTGCCCATCTATCAGGACACAGTGTATGCCAACAGATACTGCAATGTCATTGATCCAAACAAAAAGGAAGGTCTCTTAAAGATGTCCTTATTTAATCTGTGAGTGACTCCTAGACACCATAGGAGAAGCCAAGTTTAGGAGGGAGCATAAAAGCACACGAGAACTGGGGATAGGAATATTGCAGCTCAAACATATTAAGAGCTGATGTTTTAAAACATATATATCAATTTTAAAACATTTATGACAGAATACAGTTCATATAATACTAGAATGATATTATACTGAATTACTTGACTAGGTGGAATACTACTTTAACGTGTCATAATCAGGAGGAGAAAATACCATTTGGGAGAAAATATCTGTCTTCGAAAAGACTGGTAATATTGGACTTATTTCCCTAATTAAGAAAACTTCCATTAGGTCCAGTGAAATGAAATGCTCTTTTCACAGGAAAATATTCTGTAAATGCAACATTGATATAAATCAAAACTTGCAGTAAGAATAGCTAAAGCAATTATCCAAGAGCCAAACATATTTCAATCCTGAATTGAACATAGACTCATACCATATTCTTTTAAATGGCAAACTCTCAGTGTTCTAGTCTCTACTCATGTAGAATGAGAATAAAAATTACCATGAAGTGCTGAGGATTAGTGTCAAGAGTGACTAAAAATCTCAAAGTAAGTGTGGCCAGAAACAATAAAATCCTCTTCATGTAACTCATTAAAAGGTGAAGGAGAAAGTAGTTTTCTTCTATCATGTATGTTTCTGGCTTGGTGTTGTGCAAACTATTGCCCAGCATGTGAAAACAAAGGGGCAACAACATTCAACTTTCATTGCTGGGAACAACTGTTATTTACTTTTTCATTGTTAAAATGTTTAATTTTTCATAATTTTTTCAAATTGTAAAATATTGTACATTTCACTAAGAAAAGGAAGCTTAAGTCTTCGGACAACTTCCATAAAGATTGAGGATGTATATCTGAACACAATCTAGCATTAGTCATAAACTTCATCATTTGGTTTAGAACAAATACCTTTAATATTTGGAGTTTCAGAATCCTGATAACAGAAAAGTGTGGACTAGAAGATGCTGAAGGACAAGTTAAGCTTTAGAATGCTATGAAATGTGTCAAATAACTATGTTTTTGGCTTTTTCTCCAAAGCAGCCAATTTCTGGGAAGCTTGCAAGAAACTGCCACCTCATTTATAACAGAAGATTTTATAGACCCAAGAAGAAGATTCACCAGGCTTCTTCCCCGTGGAAAATTTTATTTTGTAAGAACCATATTGGAAAACCTGAAGTCTGTCACATTAGGCTGCATAGGGAAGAATTACTCATTAACTGTGTAATCTAGAAAAGGCAGGCTAGATAACATATTTTTTAAAATAGTTTTTCAGAATGCATTTTTTTTTTTTACTGGTCTGTAACTTTGATGGGTGTTATCTATAGTTCTATCAGGTTTCTTACAGAGGCAATGCTGTCTGCTGTGGAAACTGGTATCTTTGCTTTACCTGATGTGAGGTGTTTGAGCATTTACTCCACAGAGAACTACAGGAGAAGCAAGAACAGTTGTCTCTCCTAAGTCATGCTGCCAGTCCTTGGCATGTGCCACCCAGCATACACACAGTGTGAAGGTGCCCACACCCACCATGATGAGCTACTTGTACCTGTGGTGTTTGACAGACTGGCTTCCTCTGTCAGGAGAAGGGACCTCAGGGAATGACTGGGGGCCGACAAAACTTGACTCCATCATTTTCTCCAATGCAGTCACAGGATGCCTTTCCACCTTTGAATACTGTGGGAAATCACACGTACAGAGTTGAGACGAAGGATACATTATGGAGGGCCTATAACACCAGAGCTAAGCATTGAGAAGTTACTGGAATGCCAGTTCCTCCTGGTCACCTGACTAGAGGAGCAGGAGATAAGACATAATTTGTGTCCTGTTTCCAATACATTGAGTATTCACCTCCCCTGCCCCAACCATCTCTGTGCCTAGTCAGGATCCATTGAAGAGGGTTCTTCATGTCAGCATCCCAAGCCTGCTATCTCATTTTAATTAATGCACACCCATGGCACACTATGACTGACAGCCAAAAGGCACTTACAAGTATGTTTTAGTTGATGTACATCTTACCAAAAAAATTGAATTACTAGCTGGGTTACTAATAATAAGGATTGAATCAACACTTATTAAATTTCATAACATTCTGAGAATGATGAAAGACATTGGTTCAGAATATCTGGCCACCACATTCCACTGTTTTTCTCTTTCAGCTTGTTACCAGGTAGTTACCATGTTTAACAAGAGAATTTGTGAGCATTTCACTCCTTATAGTTCAGAACTCTTGGTTTCTCCTTTGACTATAATAGCTTATAAGATATAGAAGCCTAAAGAAGGCTTATGTAGATGACAACTTCAGAAAAATTTTACCCCAAAAGAAATATCACATGGCATCTCAAGAGCCAATAAGTTGTCAACTTTAACACTCCCTGCACACTGGGCGCTGGAACAGGTGGCAAAAGGTAGAAGAGTTCTCTTCTAGAAACTCCAGGTGAAGACTTTCTTTAGAAATAGAAGTTTAAGGATGCTAATCAAAATAAAAGAGAGTTTTGAATCTGGATATTCAGTACCCAATGTGTCAAGCTACAGATTTTAAGTGTTAACCTGAGTAACTGTAAAACTCTAAAACTCAGTATACCTTTTTTTTTCTCATTTCAAAAGCAAAGAAGCCAGTATTAGAAGCACTGATAAAAAAAATCAAGTTAATCAACCTTTTTGAATCTCACATCTATATGGTGAGATAATAAAATCTCTCTTATAGGGTTGTTGAAAAAATTCACAGACAATACTTAATGCACTTGATCCAGGTAAAAAGAAGGTAGATACAATAATTAAGATGATACTCTAAGATGTTTCCTAGCCTTTTAGAAATGTTATCTCTGAACTATAAAAAACTAAAGATAAATTCCACCCTAAGTACCATTTCTAATCAATTGGTAGTGGCTGCTTGTAGTCTTATATTTACATAGATTCTAAAGATGACTTATGAAGTAAGAAATGGAGAAAGAAATAGTTCTAACCGAAGAAAAATGAATCCAGGAGGAAGGAGTGGAAGATATTTTATTGTAAGCTCTTTCTTAAAATGTCGGCTTTAAAATTAATGCTTGAAAGTAAAGTCCAAAGAATTTCAACATGGCTGGAAGATATTGATAAGAAAAAGAACATAAAAAGAGAGAAGAATGAACATTTAAAAACAAAAAATCCTAGCTGGGATTGTTGAGAATAAAGACAATGTAATATATGCATGCTGATTAATTTTAGACACTGATGAACAAAATATATATATTTAAGTATTAGAAATTAGACAGCACTAGAATATAAGAATTGTGTAATATACAATACATGAAAAAACTAAACTAATATTAATTCAACAAAAATTAATAAGGGGGTTTGTAACAAGAGAGCATGGTAAATTGGAAATAAATGTGACAGGAATAAGTGTGAAACTATCAGTGATGATAAAAACTGTGGATGGTTAGATTTAACTATTAAAAGACAGATTCATACACTGAATATCTGGTCTTCTATGTTCTGAAAGAGCTAATTTAAAAACAACAGAGAAAAAAGTCGACAGAATTGGTAAAGATATACCCTGCAATGTACAGGTGAAAAAGCTTTTAACAGTAATAATTTCAAATAAAATATAATTATGTATAAAATGCATTTTAAAAGGAAGAAAGATGGATATTTCATATTCATAGAATGAGCAATCTACCAAGTGATAAATATTCATAAATTTTTATCTACCTAACAACAAAGCTTCACTATGAAAGGCTTTCTCAGGCTAGGCACGGTGGCTCACGACTGTAATCCCAGAATTTTGGGAAGCTGAGGCAGGCAGATCACCTGAGGTCAGAAGTTTGAGACCAGCCTGGCAAACATGGTGAAACCCTGTCTCTACTAAAAGTACAAAAATTAGCTGGGCATGGTGGCATGCGCCTGTAATCCCAGCTACTCAGGAGGCTGAGGCAGGAGAATAGCTTGAACCCGGGAGATTGAGGTTGCAGTGAGCCGAGATGGTGCCACTGTACTCCAGCCTGGGTAAGAGAGTAAAACTCTGTATCAAAAAAAAAAAAAAAAAAGAACGGCTTTCTCAACTAGTCACGAAAATTATAAACCATTAACATTGTCATAACTTAATTACCTATGAATTGTGGCAAGGAACATAACTATGGATAACAGTAAAGTATAATTTTAGTTCAATTTATATTTTTAGATTTTGATAAAGAGAAGTGATATAGTTTGGATATTTGTCCCCTTTGAATCTCGTGTTGAAATTTCATCCCCAATTTTGGAGATGAGGCCTGGTGGGAGGTGTCTGGGTCATGGGGGTTGATTCTTCATGAATGGTTTGTATCCTCCCTGCAGTAATGAGTGAGTTCTCATTCTATTAATTCATGGAAGAACTAGTTATTTAAAAGAGCATGGCACCCTTCGCCTTTCTCTTTTTTCTCTCTCACCATGTGACACCTGCTCCCCTTTCCCTTCCGCCATGAGCAGAAGCCTCCTGAAATGCTCACCAGAAGCAGATGTTGGCACCATGCTTCTTGTACAGCCTACAGAACTGTGAGCCAAATAAACCTCTTTATAAATTAACCAGCCTCAGCATTGCTTTATAACAAGGCAAACAGACTAACACAAGAAGATATGAATGAACTCTTTGGATAATGGAAATACATTCAAAAACCTTTATAAAACTATATGGGAGATGTATTCCTAACCTTATGGGAGAAAGACATTTGTTACCAGGACAAAACACCTAGAGACCATAAAGAAAAAAATATGTAAAATTTGATTTACTACTAATTTAAATGTCTTAAGTAACAAAAATGATTATTAGTAAATCAAAATATAAGTAAAAGCCTGGGGAAACATAGGCTATTCTTATGTTAAAGACTATTCTTAAGATATAAAGGCAGAAATCAACTGGAAAAAAATGAAAGGCAACAGGTGAACAAGAATTTCACAGAAAAATAAAGACAGGCAACATACATATGGCAAAGAGTGCAACTGCACTCATTATAAAGAGGTGGTAATCAGAATAGAGGAAATTAAGCTAAGTGCAGTGGTGCACAGCTGTAGTCCCAGCTACTTGGGAAGTGGAGGTGGGAGGGTCATTTGAGCCCAGGAGTTAGAGACTGTAGTGTGCTATGTGATTAGCTATTGCACTCCAGGCTGGGCAACATAACAAGACTCTGCCTTTAAAATAAATAGAGAAATTTAAATTTCAAGAATATCTGATAAAGGAAAAGGCCCTGGAAAAGTAGCCGTGGTGCTAACTTGAAGAGCAAATTGACAATATGTTTCAAAATTTTAGATATACATACTCTTTGATCCAAAATATTACTTTTAGAATTTCTATCATGCAAATTTCCATAATTGCAAAAGTTCAAAATAATAATTTCCAGGGTACATCAGCAGCACAATTGTCCATAACGAAACGGAAATAAACACAAAAGTGAAAAAAACTCAAAACAATAGAAATGTCCATAAATGAATACTACACAGCCATTGAAAAGAATAAAAGGCGCAAAAGCGTATGCATATAAATCCATTTGTGTAAATAAGGAAGGTGCAATTAATAGATATAAATAGATTGTGTATATATTTATGTTTATATACACATAATTAGCCTGGTGTTTATATATATACAGATTTTGTATGTACATATATTTTTCTGTGTGCATTTGCATGTGTGTGTTTCTCACGCAATTACTTAGGAGGCAGATTTTTAAGTTAAAAGAAATTATTAACTATCTAATTAGGTGTTATGCTTGGGAAAAAGTATATCCATGAGTATAAGCTATGGAGACTAGGGAACATATCAAGGTTTTGCAGCTTTAAGTTCAAAAGCTCCAATTAAATGTTTTATTTTCAATAACTTCCAAAACAAGCCACATAGTGGCAGTAATGACCATGTCTTGAACCAGAATCCGAATTTTTCACAGTGGACCTATAAAGGCTGGTCAGTCTTTTTGCAAAATGGAGGAAAATGACAGAGAACAAAGAGAAGGTACAGAGATAATTTGGAAAAGGTGATTGTTTTCAACAACCTCAAATAACAAAGATCCAATACATAATGGAAATACCTCTATGTGTGCTTCATTATTGATTGTGTATTGCAAAGTACCCATGGAAAAAGTCAGATGAATGGACATGTTTATTAAAGTGCGATGATATCCTGAATATCTGTCTGACTTTCAGGTCTATAAAAGACATATGAGGGATATAAAAGACATATCTTTTTTTATCTAATAAACTGGTTTACAAGAAAAACCTAGGTGCCTAGAAGGCCCAGCTACAAAAACAAGTGAGATGCTCTGGGCAAATCCATGACAAACTGAAGAAAGCAAGTATGTTCAGCAACTGCAGAGAGCTGTGATATGGTTTGGCTGTGTCCCCACCCAAATTGCATCTTGAATTGTAGCTCCCATAACTCCCACGTGTTGTGGGAGGGACCTGGTGGGAGATAATTGAATCATGGCGGCAGTTTCCTCCATACTGTTCTCATGGTAGTGAATAAGTCTCATGAGATCTGATAGTTTTATAAGGGAAAACCTTTCACTTGGCTCTCTCTTCTCTTGTGTCTGCTGCCACGTAAGACGTGCTTTCCACCTTCCACCATGATTATGAGGCCTCACCAGCCATATGAAACTGTGAGTCCATTAAACCTCTTTTTCTTCATAAATCATCCAGTCTTGGGTAGGTCTTTATCAGCGTGTGAAAATGGACTAATACGGGCTGCCAGGGGACAATATCAGCCAACTATTTCTGGAGCATGCAGATCTTTTAGAGAAACTGCCAAATCACTAAAAGTCAGTAATTCCCTTCCTCCCTCCCTGCCTCCCTCCCTCCCTGCCTCCCTTCCTCCCTTCCTTCCTTGTCAAAAAGCCTAATTCATCTTTTGTACCATTAGTTCATAGTCTCTGCTTAGAATCTGAGAGATAGAGGGCCTTGTCCAAAATTCCGGATAACACTCATAAACAGAATTAACCTCTTAACCTGTTCTGTTTATTCATAGTGTTCATGATAGATATTTCCTAAATCTGTTATTTCATATGTTTGAATTATTGCGATATTAAACAGTTGTTTTTATTTGTATTATTTTGGTCCATTAATATAAATGTGTTTCCAGAATTTATTATTTTAGAACTTTTTTTCTTTCTCTCACAGCATTTTGTTTCAGTGACTACTTGTACCTGAAATTCAAGTTTAAATTGCTGGTATTCCTATCCGGAGGTTGCTTGAAACTTGTGGAAGCATGATAAGAGTCTAATAATTTGACCAACTTCCAAATTATATTCCATACATTTTTGTTGAACATGAATTCAGATAGCTTCTGTGGTTTCAGTTTTGACAAGCTAAGAGTTTGGAAGTCGCTATTCCTGTCCTAGCAATAAGAAAAATAAATGAACAAACTGAAAATGTCTTCTTGTATTCATTGGATAATTGAGGTTGAAGGGCACACTGCCACCTTAAATCTGGAGAAACAGGTGAATACAGAGAATAATGGCTAAGATCAGCTTTTCTGCAACTGAATCTGCTGGAACCATAAATTGGTAGGAATGTTTAAGAAGTAATTTGGACAAGTTGCTGGAATCTGTATGGGCACTAGAACGAGAGTTGGGGTCTGTAGTCTTAGGCAGAATGCCGATACTTCCATGGGTTTGACCTCCAGGAACCACACCAGGTTCTCACAGCAAAGAACCCCAACAGCAACAAAAAAAATCATCTAATGTCTCTGCCAGTGGAAGGGGAAAAGTAACTATTTTGAAATGCACACAGAGCATTCTCAATAACAATTGCCTACTCCTGTAGTAAAAATATTTTACCAGAGCCTTATCTCACCAGAAAGAAGGCACTTCCCCAATTCCTGCTCCCTGTAGCCTTTCCGTCTCACGTAAGAGAGGAAAAAAAGTGAAGAAACACTTCTGAAGGTCACAAGTGTTCAGCAGACTAAAGGCAAAACTACCGCCCAAATGCACCGCCTAGCCATTAAAGTTGAACAGTGCAAAGGTATGGTATAACCATTGTGAGAATGCTTTATGTGTATTCTGTCACTGAAAAAATAAGTAAATGAATAATAGACAGTGGGAAGGAGGTTTTTCACTGTTGGAGTGGAAATTTATAAATAAGCAACGGGAGGAGGGTAGAATTATTGATGTAGTTATGGATTAGATTTGGGGGTAGACATCAATGTAGACACATGTTTAGCAGAATACAGATACAGATGCTTACATAGAAAAATTTAGATATGTGTTAGTCTATATGCAACCTTCAATATATAAATATATCTTTTAATATATGTATTATTTAAATATGTCTTAAGTAGACATATTTAATATATCTATTATTTAAAAATATACATATATATATATATAAAATCTTTGATCTGTCTGTTGAGAAGGCCAAGAAAAGACATCCCTGTAGCAACAATAACATACACACCTAGCTTCCAAATCTCAGTCTCCAATGAAATTCTGCAAAGAAAGAAACTAGCTATTTCCATGGAGAAATGGCTGATTCTAGAACCAAGGCAGAAAATGTACAACATAAGCAAGGAGTGTCTTGTAGTGCTCAACAACAAAAAAAAACCCTGAAAACTTACAGTGAATTGATACATAATGTTAAAATGACATAAGCCAGCTGAAAGACCTATCAATGGCCAAAGCCAGAAAAAACTGATGAGAACGTAACATAGTATTTACTACTTAGATTACAAATCAAAGTATAAAATAGTATCCATGAGTTTATTTATACTGATAAAAATATATGATGGAATAAATAAGTAAATGGGAGAGAAGAGACAACCCCTTTGTGATAGAATCCCAAATAACTTATGTAGATACTTAACCATAAGGAAAGAAGACCGTAACTCCCCACTCCTTAAGAGTGGGCTATGCATAATCACTTCCTTCCAAAGAGTATTCTATGCAAAAGGAGAGAGAAGAAAAGGGTAACTTTACAGTGGAGAAGCTTGGCAAATATTACCTCAGACAGATGATAAGGTAAACTTCAATAATAATAAATCATATTGTAGCGTGTATCTTGATATGACATAATAAAAATGGCACTTTAAAAATTTCTACAGAAAACCAGTAAACCCCATGTAATCATAAGAAAAGAATCAAATTCCAATAAAGGGGCATCCTCCAAAATTCTTTACCAGTACTGATCAAAACTGTCATGGTCATCATAAAAAGAAAAAATCAACAAACTGTCACAGGTAAGGGGAACCTAAGGAGACATGAATATTAGATGTAATGCGGTACCTGGGATTAGAACACAGGCAGCAATCAGGTGAACACTCAAAAAATCAGAATAAACAATAGCAATTGTGAGAATGCCAACATGTGGGATTTTATGGATAATAATGCATTCTTATTAGTTTGTTAGTTTCAGAATTGTGCCCTACTAATATACAAGGTTAATAATAGGGGAAACTGAATACAGAGTATAGAAACTTGCTGTGGTATCCTCTCAACTTTTCTGTAAATTGAAAGCTATCCTAAAATATCAGATCTGCTTAAGAAAATAGAAAATAACATAAATGATTAAAAAAGTACACATCGAAATAAACAAAAAGAATTGAGAGACTAAAGGCAGAATTCAGTCTTCCCTTAATTGCTTGAGTAGCTCAGGTGTAGGCCCTCAAGATGCATACTCCACTCAGCAAAACAGTTCACCTATACCAACCCTCCTGGAAAGTTAGCCTGACTGACCATGATCATAGCTTTTGGACATTTTATGCTCTGTGCTAATATATATATATATAAAGAGAGAGAGACAGAGTCTTACTCTGTTGCCCAGGCTGGAGTGCAGTGTCTTGATCTCGGCTCACTGCAACCTCGGCCTCCTAGGTTCAAGCAATTCTCATGTGTCAGCCTCCTGAGTAGGTGGGATTACAGGCGCCCACCACCACGCCCGGCTAATTTTTGGATTTTTAGTAGGGTCAAGGTTTCACCATGTTGGGCAGGCTGGTCTCAAACTCTTGACTTCAAGTGGTCCATCTGCCTTTGCCTTCCAAAGTGCTGGGATCATACGTGTGAACCACAGTGCCCAGCCCAAAAATATTTATTTTGTTTCCATCCAAATGCATGCAGTTCTATCTCCGAGACAAGCTAAGGTCTGGACAAACTTATTCTTAAGATTGTATCTTCAGTGAAATTTAAGTGCTCAGATTAGCTGCCTGTCTGGATCTCCCTATTAGCATCCTCTACAATGTTACAAAGCCTGGCAGTTGATTCTATGTTATTTCCTTGACACAGATCCTGACTTTATTGTGTGCACATGGTTAAGAGCTCATTTGGTATAATATACAAAAGATCCTGTTAGCAGTGAATAAGGAGATGCCCCAGTTCATTCAATGGTGCTCTCAGCATTAGCTCAAGTGTTTTTTGTTGTTGTTGTTAACTCCTTCATAGGCCCTGGTTAATATTGTTATTTCCTAGGAGAAGCATTCATCCAACTGGCCCCCCTGAAAGTGCCGGCTAATGCAAATGCTCCCAGGTAATGAAGGTATCTCCTCTTGCCCGCCCACCTGCTTTGCTCCTAGCACATTGTAGGTGGTGCACCGAAATCAATAGGCCAGTCAAATGAAGCAGGCGCATGTTGGCAGTAGAATAACAGCATTGTTTCCAGGTCTGCCACATGCACACAGCAGGAGTCAGAAGGTTAAATGAAAGTAGGGTCAGTTTTGGACAGCAATGTTGACAGTGCTGATAATCGCCTGGTCTGGAACCCTAGGCAATAAAAGCAGGAGGAGGATATTTTTAGGCAGTTTTAAATGTCTTTCTCTCTGCATTGCTTGGTTCAAATATGTCTGTGACAAAATTTTCTTTATTGCCACTCTGACTTATGAGCCCGAGTATGGGGAAATTGATAGTTACAATATGTTTTCAAGAGTGATTTCACTGGGATTTCTAATGTAGGTAATTAAAAACAACTCGACCGCTGTTGAGAATTTTTGCATGGACACCAAAGCAGCAAGAACTTTAAGAATTGCAATTTTCACACATTTCCTTTAAAGCAAAATAATATGAAAAGAGACCCTCTTCAGACACTAGGCACAGCACAAAACGCCACCTCCTCCCCAGCAAATTACCACTTCACCAGGGGGATTCTTCATGTGTTAACTGCACCTTTTTAGAGAGCTGAGCTATTCTTGGTCTGATATGAACTCCCCAGCCTGCCTACTATAAGCTCTGATAGCACCGTTCACTATTTCCTGTAGGCCTTGGCACAGATGAGAGCCCACATTTGTGAGATTATTTGATTTATATTGATCACTCGCAGTAATCAGCAAACTTCTTGAAAGAAGCAGCTTTCTCATTTTTTGTCATCATCACATGCCTGTTCCTTAATAGGTATTGTCTGGTACTTAGTAGGCTCTTTAGTCTATATTTAAGTAAATAAATGAATGTATGAATCTATATTCAATCAATAAGTTATAATTTGATATTTAAAGCAATAAATCAGCGTTTAGGCTAGAACTATTAAAAATTAACTTTAATTAATGCTACAACAAAATTACCTCTTCTGACCTACTCCCTGCAAACAATTCCATGATTTTCAATTCACTCTCAAAACTCTACCAAAAATAGCTCAGAGCAGTGTGAGCTATATGAGGTATGCAAAATTTATCAGGCCCAGAGAGACAGAGTGTGGGATTGTAGTCACTCACCCCCACCAAACCCAGGGGTGATTGTTTAAAGACATTTTGTTCCTAACTGCCTCATCACTTATTTTCAAGTTTTTGGAATTTGTAATAAAAAGAACCATGGATAAGCCAAGCAATAGCTTATACTATTTTAACGCAAATTCTTTTTTATTTTTTTTTGAGACGTTGTCTCGCTCTGTCACCCAGGCTGGAGTGCAGTGGAGCCATCTCGGCTCACTGCAAGCTCTGCCTCCTGGGTTCACGTAATTCTCCCGCCTCAGCCTCCCAAGTAGCTGGGACTACAGGCGTCAGCCACCGCGCCAGGCTAATATTTTGAACTTTTAGTAGAGACGGGGTTTCACCGTGTTAGCCAGGATTGTCTCGATCTCCTGACCTCGTGATCCACCCGCCTCGGCCTCCCAAAGTGCTGGGATTACAGGCGTGAGCCACCGCGCCCGGCCTAATGCAAATTCTTGATAAACAATTTGGGAACTGCCTCTTCATTTCCTATAAAAACCCACTTGTAACTGCTGCTGATGGGAGCATGTATTTAGGGTACATTAAGTCTATGCTCTCAGGTTGCAGTCCTCAAAACTGGCCAAAATAATTGCTCTATTTATATTAAGTTTGCCTAGGTTTTTTGTTTCCTTTGTTTGTTTTCCTTTAGGCCAACAACTCAATTCACATGTGACCTCCTTTAGGTAGGCTTGAGATTCCCCTAGTCAAATTCAGAAGTCGTTTTCCATTCTCTGATAGTACTTTGATTTAATGTATCTATATAATAAAGATATTATATGCTTGTACATTTTTCTCTCCACTAACCTTTGAACATCCTGAGATCAGGAACCACTTCTTCTGTTTGTATTCTAAGCTATCCCTGCAGTACCCAACACAGAGAAGTGTGGGCTTTACCAGAGTTCAATAAACATTACTGGATAAATATGTGCCTTTTCACCAATTTTTAAGGCTCTGTTAGGCACTAAATTCTTTTTTGGTTTTGTTTTTTTTGTTTGTTTGTTTTGAGGCTGAGTCTCACTCTGTCGCCCAGGCTGGAGTGCAGTGGCATGGTATCGGGTCACTGCAACCTCTGCCTCCCGGGTTCAAGCAATTCTCCCACCTCAACCTCCCGAGTAGCTGGAATTACAGGCACCCACCACCACGCCTGGCTAATTTCTGTATTTTCAGTAGAGATGGGGTTTCACCATGTTGGCCAGGGTGGTCTTGAACTCCCGACCTCAGGTGATCCACCTGCTTTGGCCTCCCAAAGTGCTGGGATTACAGGCGTGAGCCACTGCGCCTGGCCTAGGCATTAAATTCTTATTATTCCTCTTTAGCATGCAAGTATTATCTTCCAGTTCTTTCTCATTTAATGTTACCTCCCCCATAAACTTACCTTTCTTAAAATGATTACTGAAAAAAAAGGTATGAAGGGTATACAATTTTCTTCTTTCATTTTTCAATTGTGAATATTTTCTCTTGATTTTAAGAGAGAAGAACGGATGATCTCTTTTGATGACTTTCTTTTCTGATCCCTAAACCAGGCTGAGAAGTTTCACTCCTTTGCCTTGAAGGTTCTAGAGGTTATAATTCTATCCTTAGCTCTTTCTTACTTGAGACACAGCAAAGGAGGTGAGTTCATCTTTACTCACAGATGCTTTATTTGTTTTTAAAACAATGGTAGGGACTAGATGCTTCTCAGGGAGGGTAATCTACTCCAGTTCTGCAGCCTTGGAGTCAAGTGTTTCCAGAGTATCATGTTGCTTCACTTGACGAGGTGTTTTGCATCTTGTTAGATGACTATAAAGTGAAACCCATTTCCATGAATGTTTAATGAACTTAATAAAGGAATGCCAGAGCCAGACAATTCATTTGTTAAACACTGCAATTTGCAAAGAATTTCAAGTAGTTAACATGAGCTTCAAGATAAAACAAAGACAGATTTGCCTGATATGGTAAGCAAGTAGGAAATTTTCCTTTCCAAGGATGAAATATGCCTGAATAACCCGTCACCCTCTGTAAAGTGGAAATAAATGCCTGCGGTGGGAAGCTTGGTGATGGAACTTGGTGTTCAGAACTTCCCCATGGTCCCATTTGAAACTTGAGCATGGACTGTGAACTTCTTTACCACTTTTGACATTTTGGGAAGGATAATCTTCTGTTGAGGGAGGTTATTGTGCATTGAAGGATGTTCATCAGCGCCAATGACCGCTACCCACTAGATGCCTGTAGCATTCTTCTCCCAGCATGCAATAGCCAAAGTGTCTTCAGACTTTGCCAAATGTCAAGGGATGGTGGGCAAATTGCCTTCTGTTGAGAACCACTGAGTTATAAGGATGTTGGTTTGTCTTTCAGCTACTTACTAGCTGTCTGACAGACATACCTTTCTCAAGCTCCAAATCCCATTTCTATTTTCTGCACATTGTGGGTATAAATTAATTGTTAGAACTAAATGAGACAATGCATTTATATTAATTTGTTTCTTTAACAAAAACTGATAGAGATTTTTATGGGTATTGTGTTGAATTTAAACCACATTTTGGGTTATATCATCATTTAACAATATTAATTTTTCCAATCCATCAATATGGGTTGTATGTCTATTGATTTTAATCATTTTGATCAATGTTTGTAGATTTCAAGGTACAAACTTTTCACCTTATTACGTTTATACCTAAGCGTTTCTTACATTAAGTTCTCTAGCAAATGGAAGTGTTTTCTTAATTTTCTTTTAAAATTGTTTATTGTTAATGTATGGAAATTCAACTAACTTTTGGTGCTGATATTGTATTCTGCAAATCCACTGAATGTGTTTATTAATTCCAGCAGTATTTTGGTTGACTCTTGGGATTTTCTTTCACTTGCGTCTGTGTGAAGAGACCACCAAACAGGCTTTGTGTGAGCAACAAGGCTGTTTATTTCACCTGGGTGCAGGCGGTCTGAGTCCAAAAAGAGAGTTAGTGAAGGGAGATAGGGGTGGGGCCGTTTTATAAAGTTTGGGTAGGTAAAGGAAAATTACAGTCAAAGCAGGTTGTTCTCTGGTGGGCAGGGGTGGGGGTCACAAGGTGCTCAGTGGGGGAGCTTTTTGAGCCAGGATGAGCCAGGAGAAGGAATTTCACAAGGTAATGTCACCAGTTAAGGCAAGGACCGGCCATTTTCACTTCTTTTGTGGTAGAATGTCATCAGTTAAGGCAGGAACAGGCCATTTTCACTTCATTTGTGGTGGAATGTCATCAGAAAAGGCAGGAACCGGCCATCTGGATGTGCACGTGCAGGTCACAGGGGATATGATGGCTTAGCTTGGGCTCAGAAGCCTGACATTTTCTACACAGAAGATCATGTCATTTACAAACAAATATAATTTTACTTCTTTCTTTCTCAAAAAAAAAAAAAAAAAAATCCAGCCATTTCCGTACAAATAGAAGTTCAGTTCAACTATTCCACTAACATGTTACTGATTAGAATCTATCCTCATCACTTTAACTAGTGTCTGGCTTTGTTTATCTTTGACATAACCAGTTGCTAAGGAATGAAGCCCTCCATCACTGTGGTTGTTTTAGAGTGGTGGGATTATACCCATTAGAAATCAATAGCAAAACCATTCACTCTGTTTCTGAAATGAACAATTCCTGCACATTGCCATGAATAGAAGTTTAACAAAACTTGCCTGGGAAGAGACTCTGATTTATGAATTCTGCATTAAATCATCTGAGTACATCTGTTATGGACATCATAATAGCGACTTTTTGGGTAATGATTTCTTAGAATCACCAGTGATGTATAAATTTCCAGTGATTGAAGCATTTGGAGGGGTGTGAATGTGTCCTGGATGATTGCCTATTATACTCAAATGCTAGGTTTATGCAATGGCCTTTGTTCTTTTGTTTTATGCCTCAGATTCTGAAAGTGCGGATGCTGTGTGGGGTCAAAGAATTGCTAACCTAAGAGGAATATATCTGCATGTATTACACAGAATTCTCTTGCTTTAATTTAGTGTTTTGCAATATACCTCAGTAATGGTTAAAACTGCCTTACAAAAAGTGTAAGAGGCAAAGAGTTTGCATTTAACTTCAAGTTCTGATATCTCTGTAAGGCTTGGAATTAGAAGGATTGATTATGAAACTCCACCTTTCACCTTTGATTCTTCTCACACCCCTTAACTTGGAGTTCTCTGAACATAACATGCATTTTTAGGATTCCATGGCTTTATTCTTCCTGCATGTTCTGGCTTCTAGCTCTTAGCCCTTTGACTCTCTATAGAACTTTTCATATCCTTCCAAACCCAGTCCGAGTCCGACTCTGTTGTGAGGCAGCCCCCAAGTCTACCCCCATCCACCTCCCACTGGCTTCCTCTTGTCCAACCTCTGCTGCAACAACAACTATCTCGGAACTCACTTCTTCTGATTCTGGGGGTTTTTGTGTTTCTTCCTACATAGAACTTCCCTTATGGCAAGGGACATTGTATCCTTGGTGTCACATACAACTTCTGGCACAAACTAAGGATTCAACAAGTGTTCATGGGACAAAAAACTGAAGCTCTTATTTTTACTAGAGATTAGTTTATATTACAGATTGTAATCAAGAGCTGAAATTTAACTTGCCTTTTATCTGATGCATACATACATGCATGTGTGCATACGTCCCAGCCCAGAACTGTTAAAACGATTTAAGCAAAACCCTATAAAGCTCTGAAAAATATTTACAAGTCTGATCCCAGGCTCCCAACACCTCTGAGCTGGAAGCACTGAGGTAGGCTATAGGAGGAGGTGTGTAGACATGTCACTTACATTTTGCAGCTGGACATGGCTCTTCACCAAGTTCTCTGACTTTGCCATTGTGCTGGATGCTTTGAGACTGTAGCTTTTACCATTTTGTGGCACTTTCAGCTGCTCTTGGATTTGTTTAGCTTGTTTCCTGCAGGCATAAATAAACGTGTACAAATATTTGCATGACTTTATTCAACTCCTACTTTCAGGGTCTCATTCATTCCCAGTGTCTATATTTGTTATTTGCTAAAGTTAAATAAACTCAGCTAACGAAGAGAACCCTTCTCTCATTTCCAACCCCACCAGAAATACTTCCAGTTTAGTGATAACCTGATATCATCCATATTCTCTAGGAATTCACATTCAGTGGCACCCCAAAAGCAGACAAACATTTAGTGCATTGCCCTGGCCCCCATAGATGCAAGAAGTCTCTAACCCTGAGTTTTAGCTGCAAAGAACTGGAAATACTATGGGAAAGTGACTAGAGGAAAACAATTAAGACTTGGGCTTAGCAGGTACATATGACATATTTGTAGAGTTACATTTATATTTGTACAATTCAAATATGTTTAGCTTAATTGCACAACTTGACTATATACCATAATGTGTATATTCTCTGTCTTTTACAATTTAGAAATAGCTCATTTATTGTTACCAAGAGCCCAGATATTAAAAATAGTTAACTCTTAAAGAGCTAGTTATACAGTAATGTGCCACACATGGTTTTAAGTGCTTTATATGTATCATTTCACAGATTTTTCATGATAATTCTTTGTGATGAGGCCATAATGCTATACCCATTAAGTAGATGAGAACTAAAGCACAGAGAAGCTAAGCCATTTGTTTGACGTCACATAGTCAGTGAGTGGCAGCGATTGGATCTCAGCCCAGCCAACCTGCCTCCATAGTTTACACTCTTCAACCACCACTCAGAATTGCCAAGCCATGTGCTCATGGTCCCACCGCTTCTGAGTGAAAAGGCTGAAACTGCTGTAGGGTTCTGGACTTCAAGTAAAGTGCTCCTGTGTGCACATGCGGAATGACTGTTGTCTGGGTCACTCAGTGCCTACACCAGAAGGATGGGACAAACCACTGCCTTAGCAGCAGCTCTGTCCCAGAAGCTTCACAGAAATCATCTATTAGCATAGACTTGGTACCCATTAAACACAACACTCACACACACACACACACACACACACACACGCACACCTCTTTGCAGTGTTGACCTAAATAACAAACATGGAGACTCTAAAAGAAAATATTTATTTGGAAATAAGTGTTGCAATGGGAATACACACGATATAGGAAACTATGTTTTATCACTAGGAAGACAGGAAACGTTAGGTACACAACTGATTTGAGATCACTATCCTTGGCTACAAGGATCAATAGAAAGGATGGTGCCAGTCCAAGGGTGGACAGGAAGTTGCTGGGCATATGTCCTTGCAGAACTATTTTCGTGCATGTAAGGCTGCAATAGTCTTCATGCAAAGCTGCGGTTTTCACAGACTTTTGTGATAGTTCTTGTAATCAGGCATTTGCCTACGTGACTGCTCCCTTCATGTCCTTCTCCGGCTCTATTTGTCAGGGTTTTTAACACAAATGACTCCATTTTGATTCTGACAACTTTCCCAGTAGAATCATGCCCTTGAATTTTGCCTGTCTTCCAACGTCTCTGACAAAGATAGTGCCGTCAGTGGAGCACATGGCCGGTCTTAGCAATGAGCTTCTCCAGTCAGTAGCACCCTACAGAGCGTGGCTTATTGTATCACAGGGACTGGGATTTGAATCCCACTCTGCTACCCACTAGTTTTGCTACCCTAATAATTTCCTAAACTTGTTGAGCCTCCATTTCCTCCTCTGTAAATGAAGTTCATAAAAGCTATCTTCCACGGACACTGTGGTGGCTGCATGTGGAGGCACACGCAAAATGTTCATATCTTTCCCGATACCATCAAGCAAGCTCAGTCTTGTGAGCAGAAGCTGCAAAAGAATCAGAACATTGACCCAAAGGTAAAAGATTACACTAGTTGCATCTTCCCAAGCAATTCACCAGCACTTGCTGCAAGCTTTGGAGGCTTTGAGCTTCATTACCCATTTTGAATTTACAATATCAGTGTGATGTAGCTCTGTTTTTTAAGATATTTCTTTTATCTTTCCAATTATTTGGGAGACTTTTATCTCTAGCACTCTTAGTTGCTTTAATCCTGTTGTAATAATCTATTTGCTTCCTAACAGCTAATCTATAGCCTATTGTTAAAAATAAATCTATCATATCAGCATTTTAAGGAGCATGTTACAGCCACAAGATTTTATCAGGGGTTCATTCGCACACACAAAAAAGGGGAAATCAGGAGGTTCTAGTCTGGTAAATCATCCTGAAAAAGTAAGAGTGCATGTCTCAGAGCAAGGATTCCATTACTCTCATGGGATTAAATTAGAAACACTTAATGATGTTTGCAGTAATCCAATTCAGAGTCTTGGAAGTATAAACTTATAAGGGAATTTTCTTTAAGCAATATCCAATACCGGACTGCGTTTCCTAAATCCTTTTATAATTTGCTTACCTTTAGTCTTTTTTCACTCAAGTCCTGACTTAGTAATATTCCAAGATACGTGGTCCTTCCATTCTGAGCCTGCCTCTGCCTATCTACCATCCCTCCTCTCTCACAAGCACACACTTTTTTGCTCTTTCTTCCTTCACCCAGAAAATGGGAACAGAGAAAACAATCAGCAGCTGATTGCAATACCATTAGCTCTCTCATGAGAGGCATTGCTCTGGGGAAGAAAAGATGCATGCCTTGCACATGGGAATACTATTAGCCCAACAGTGTCAGTGTGGAAACTTTACAGTTCATTTGAGTTTTAAATTTCTCTGGTCCAATGCATTAGAAAGAAATGAGATGTAAGTTGCAGAATAGTAGACATCATTAATCCATTGTTAGGCATTATTTGTCTTGTTGCAGATTGGGCTCCTGGGAAGGCAGACCCTGGGATAAAGACAGCATAGAGGACTTTTGTTAAGGAGAGCTCTTGGTATCAACACCTGTGGAAGCAAAGGGAAGAAATGGAAGCAGAATTGGGCTGGGGAGAAGTTGGAATGTGATACAGTCTCAGTGAAAACCTCAGCAAACCTCAGAGGGAGCTCTGAAGCTGGCATGGTCTTGCACCTGAAGTTGGGGAAAAGGTCTAGGTCTTCAGAGCCTCATATCGATGCATCATTGGAGGTAAACAATACCAGAATGGAACATGAGATTGAGAAAGGTGACTCTTCACCGGTGTTTGCTGGCAAACTTGGCGACTAAATCCTCCATATCTGAAGAAGACGCAGCAGTGCATCAGAGTGTCTGCCATTAAGAGGCTTTTTTTGGGATCTAAAATCTCTTACTTCAAGGGGTTGATGACCTATAGTTAGGGGCAGGTTGTTACCGTGTCTACATTTTACTGATAATACCAGTTTTTATCCTCCTCTTTTTTCCCATTTGTGATAATTACCTGTTTCAGATTCTGCCTCCTGAAACATATCCTCTCCTACTTCAATTCTAGTTTTAGAGTTGAATCATATTTTGTATTTCCAAGCTCTGCTAAGAACTCTAACACTCATCCCCATCATTCTTAACTACATAAGTTAAAAATAAAGAGAAAAACTTGAATAATTTACAGTCATTGCGTGAGCCACACTGGCCAGACTTGACAGGCTCAATTAATAGTTCTATTAACTATGTATAGGAATATATGAGCTTATTGGGAGTGAAGAGAATTTCTTTCACTGTTTTTTAGAGTTGCTATGGGTTCAGTTAACTCCATCAAAAAATCCTCTAAATTCAAGGTGTTTCTTACTTATTCCTTATCATGTTACCTACCTTCCATCTTTCCTCAGACACAGAATTTGCTGTAATATTCCTTCTGATGAAGTCATGCCATGCCAAAGGTGACGAGGGAATGGAAAAAGAATCATAAAGGCAAGGTCTAAGTGATTATGGGAAGTAGAACATAAATGATCAAGAGAGCTTTGAGCTAAGTCTCAGCTCCCTCTGGGCAGAAACTATACATCCCAGTGTATCGAATGGAGGTTCAAGTGAACTTATTTGAATACCAGTGATAGAGAGGCCTTAGAATCCTGGAAGACTTGGGGCTTCTAAGCTAAAGTAAAAAATGTATATGCATATAAACTACTTTCCTTTATGAGTGAAAGTAAGGGAAGGTCAAGGTAGAGTTTGGATATTCTGTTCTCCCCAAGGTTTTGGAAAAGGAAATCCACGAATTCACACACACACACACACACACACACACACAACTTGTGCCAGGGTTTTATGACAATCTATATTGCTTTTAGCAATATAAATTAGGTGCTTGGTAAGGTGGTGGCATTTCTCTCAAGCAAAGAAAAAAAAGGGAGACCAAGCCTGAAAATGGTACTAGAAGAAGGAAATGCACCCTAGGCCTCTAATGAGGAACATATAGCTAATCCAATTTCAGGTGGAAAATACTTCCATTTGTATCATCATTTTATCATTTTTGCCTTTAGTTATTAATTGATTCATTTTTTAAATAAAACTGTGTCCCAGGCTGGTAGACAGAAAGATAACAATGTCCCGCTTGGTGCTCTAGCTTCTGTGCAGTCCTCTGAGCCTACCCTAATGAATCTGATGTTGAAGATTGTTTTCATTAAACACTTTGACTCCTCACTGAGTCCCAGGAGGAGATGTTGATCTCAGAGCCCTCTTGCTGTCCAGAGTGAGACATTGACAGCCCCAAAGATGGAAGTCCCCTGGTAATCCAGCTG
The DNA here is from genome assembly GCF_000001405.40 of Homo sapiens. NCBI lineage: Eukaryota > Metazoa > Chordata > Mammalia > Primates > Hominidae > Homo > Homo sapiens. The sequence continues at coordinate 82,954,310 of NC_000010.11, read as the reverse complement.
TTTGCTTTCATAATTACCATGATCTGTCTTTCATTTAAATGTGGTACAACTACACATTATACTGTAAAAATAAGTGATTAACTGCTTCTTTATTGTAATTTGGTTATTGTTAAGTAAGGAATTTCTTTCTTGTACAAAGCTCTAGCAGGGAGACACTTCTAACTACCACCCTGCTGGGTGTGATTACCACTCTCGTGCTCCAGGGGAGGCTCTTAACTTTATAGCTACCCAGCCTCCAAGTTCTAGTGTGGAAAACCATGGGTGTTAACGACAGCAAGCCTCCATTGGGTATTTACTCTTTTAAACACTTTGCTATGCCCTTTACACTGTGATTGCATTGTTTTTTTTTTTTTGAGACTGAATCTCACTCTGTTGCCTAGGTTGGAGTGCAGTCGTGCGATCTTGGCTCACTGCAACCTCCACCTCCCAGGCTCAAGCCATTCTTGTGCCTCAGCCTCCCGAGTAGCTGAGATTACAGGTGCTCACCACCATGCCTGGCTCATTTTTGTATTTTTAGTAGAGATGGAATTTCACCATGTTGGCCAGGCTGGTCTCAAGTGATCTTCCTGCCTCAGCCTCCCAAAGTGCTGGGATTACAGGCATGAGTCACCGCGTCTGGCCATGATTGCATTTAATCCTTAACAAAATTCTATAAGGTAGATATTATACTTGTTCATATTTTACCACAAAGGGAACCAAGGCTAAGAGACACGATATAATTTGCCTAATCAAATATAACAAGTAAATGACAGCCTGAAGATTTGAATCCAAGTATGACTCACTAGTGTACAACCCTGACCATTATGCCAGATGGCATTCTTGGAGAACATAAAGTGCTATGGGCTGCACAAAAGAGAGTAACTCCTAACTCGCTCTGCGCAGCTCCACCATCTAGCAGAAGGACTATGTGAACCAGTATGGTATAGAGGTTTAGAGCATGTGATTTAAACTAGAACTCCTAAAATTAAAGAACCTATCTGTCATTTTCTTCTTTATGACTTTGAAAAATAAACATTTTAAAATAAATTCTGGTATTATTTGAAAAATGCAGTAATAATGCACAACTCTGATTTCTGTGGTGATTGGAAGCTAACACATAAGAAGCCCAGTGTGCCTGGCAAAGAGTAAGTGTTCAGAAATTGATAGTTACAACTGCCACAGCCAAGAGTTGCCTAGGAGATGTAACAGCTAATATCATATGGTAAGGATGGGGCCCTGGCATTAACAAAAGGGCCTTAGGTAAAATACTAAGGAAATCTGAAAATACAGACTTTAGTTAGTAATACTATATCAATATTGTTCCATTAATTGTGACAAATGTACCATGCTAATGTAAGGCATTAATAATGGAGGAACTTTGGTCTAAGGTATATAGAAACTGTCTGTTCTATTTTTGCAACAGTTCTAAATATCTAAAAAACATTCTGAAATAGTTTATTAGGAAGATAATAGTTACTAATTCTGAATTGATGCTCAAGTTTCTGTTATTTTAAAAAATCATAATCACAGTTTTCTTTGAGAATCAACACAGATAACATGCAGACAGGTATCACAAACTATACCTGGAAATTAATCCCATGTTAGAAGAGCAAATTGGTAAAAAATTATAGGTCCACTGAAAAGCAATTACACATTGGCTTGAATTTCAGACAAGCTGTAGGAACCAAATCTGTGCAAAATTCTTAAGACATGAGAAACCAAGGGGCTAATATTTTTATCTGCATTTCTTAAGTGCAGATTATATCATTTTAATAAATGAAATACGTCTACCAGAGTTCATTTGGAAAAATACACACACACACACACACACACACACACACACACACACACACACACACAGAGAGAGAGAGAGAGAGACGTTTATATCTACTTTTTTTTTTTTTTTGAGACAACTCTGTCCCCGAGGCTGCAGTGTAGCAGTGTGATCTGGGCTCACTGCAACTTCCACCTCCCAGGTTCAAGCAATTCTCCTGTCTCAGCCTCCCAAGTAGGTGGGACTACAGTGGCACGCCACCATGCCCAACTAATTTTTGTATTTTTCCTAGAGATGGGGTTTCACCATATTGGTCAGGCTGGTCTTGAACTCCTGACCTCAGGTGATCCACTTGCCTCGGCCCCTCAACGTGCTGGGATTACAGGCTGAGCCACTGCACCTGGCCTACATCTATTTCTAGTCAAACATAAACACCTTTATCTGAAGAAGGTCTAGTTTCTCAGCAAGGTAACTTTAGGGCATATTCAACATGTGCATACCAACTGGTAAACTGAAGTATATTTTTTAGTATTCATATTCCACATTTGCCTAAAATCTTTATGAAAAACTGAATTGTTTTTTCAGAAATAGATAGATAATGGTTGATAATGTGCAGGTTCATAGCAGTGGCCCCTTTGTTCAGAAGAGTTAGCCTTTAGTGACAGGCAGACACCAAGCCCTTAATACCAGCAAGTGGTGAATCAGTGCAAAGAACATAGAATGTTCGTGGTCACTGAGAGGAATGATCATTATGTGCATCGTAGATAAACCGCGCACACATGTGTGCACATACACATCACATACATGCATGTACATGCCTGTACACACTCACCACAATTTACAAAAATGTCCTAAGTCACTTGCAGATTGTTGCTAGACCCATTTCCACAGGTTCCCTCTGTGTGGCACACAGACTGAGAACTTAAAGTAACACAAAGCGCTTTCTCTAAAAGTAACCTTTAAACACTTGAGAGAAATAGTCTTACTTGCTTTTGAAGTAGAATGCTGCACAGAACATGCCCACGATGACAATTCCAAAGATGATACATGAAATTGACAGCACCTGCCTTTGATAAACTTCTTCACTCTCTGTGAATTTGAAAAACAAAATTAGAATGGATGCTAGCGGGGTGCATCAGCAACTATCTTCATCCATGTACTTCTGAGCTGGTAGGAGTCTTTCAAAGCCAACTTTTTGGTTTCTGTCATAAATAGGGAAAAAACAAGGAACTTATTATGATTCAATTACTTTGCAAAGTTCTACAGGATAACTGGTTGCTATTATTTGTATCTGCATGGCTACATCAGAACTCATACTCAGATATTGCGATTACAGATTTATCATCAAAAGACATTCTATGACTTTAGGATTTACTGGGGACATAAGCCTGTGAAATTGTGGTAAGGCCCAAATTAATCAGCTAGAGAAACAAACTCAGGTGCTTCTGAGCTTTCCTGTGGCAGTGATGCCTTCTAATTTACCTTCTGTGGTGCTGATGCCCCTGTGTTTTCTGATTCTGATTTAGTCCTTGGCTGTCAGCCTCCCATTCTTCCTACTATCACTATGATTGACATCACTCATGAAGAAAAAATCAATAGGCACGTAAGTATTTTATTCACCCAGTCTCTGTCCTTCTCAATACCAATGATTTGGCACAGTAGAACTCAGCCTCTATTACCAAGGTCATACCTTGTAGCTTATCACGAAAATGACAATAATTCAAAAACAAACATTTCACTCTGTAGCCACTACCATTTATACTCCTAGGTCCTTTCTTAACCTGTATCTACCTAAACAATTCTTCCATCTCATCAAGACTTTGTATCCGTAGAACCCAGCAGTTTCTCTGTTAATTATCCTCGTCTTGTCTTCATCTTTCTGTTTATATAGGACAGTGACCATGGTCCATGACTACAGTCATTTACTCTCTTGCAAATACTCTATTTACTTTATCCCTTTTGTCTTCCCTTCTACCTATTTGGCAAAATAAATGGACACAAATCCAAGAAACTGCCTTCTCCATACCTCTACTGTGGGCAGCTCAGAATGGGGGAAGAAAACTGTACCACTGGGCAAATGGACACCAATAAAGAACAGCAATCACAGAGCTTAAGTAGTCATCTAATGGTCACTAACAATGTCATCAGCCTGCCTTCCTGTTTCCCTAATGATCAGCCATATCGTCTCCACACTACTCACACACCTGACACAACTTTCCCTCTCTCACTCTCAGACCTTCTATACAGGTCATAAGAAACAAGCAGCCAATTTAGAGGAAATTTCCCACTATTTAACACATATATATTCTAAAAATATACAAAATTAATTGCATCTATATACATTCTCTCTCTGTGTCATTAACATAGAACAATAGTTCTCAAATTGTAATGCACTGGAGTCACCTTGGAGCCTAATAAAAAACAGACTGCACCTACTTCTTTCCCCAGAGTTACTGATTTAGTAGATCTGGAGTGAGTACAGAATGTCGGCATTTTTAAAAAGTTCCCAGGTGATTCTGATGCTACTGGTCTGAGAAACACACTTTGAGAACTTTTGAGCAGACTAAGAGTTCTCAAAACATGAATCATCTACATAAAAAATCACCTGAGGAGATATGTTTTTCTTTGTTAATACTAGTTATGGTTTCCTTCTTTCTAAATCAGGATCTTTTTGGTTTTTTTTTTGGTTTTGTTTTTGTTTTTGATATAGAGTCTTGCTCTGTCACCCAGGCTGGAGTGCAGTGGCGTGATCCCAGCTTACTGCAACCTCTTCCTCCTGGGTTCACGTGATCCTCCTGCTTCAGCCTCCCAAGTAGCTAGGACTATAGGCACCTGCCACCATGCTTAGCTACTTTTTGTACTTTTAGTAGAGATGAGGTTTCACTGTGTTGGCCAGACTGGTCTCGAACTCCTGACCTCAGCTGATCTGCCTGCCTCGGCCTCCCAAAGTGCTGGGATTACAGGTGTGAGCCACCACACCCAGCCAGGATCTCTATTTAAGTAAAATTTTCAGGTATTTCTCATGCATACTAAAATTAGAACATTATTCAATTATAGCAAGCACTATTTTTTAAATAAAATAATAATTCCTTTGGTGTTCATTGTTTCCTATCATCTCGGGGGCTTCTCATCACTGAAAATTAAAGAAAAACAATCGATTCAAATTCATTTTATGATGCCAGTATTATCATGATTCCGAAAAAGACGAAGACCTAACCAAAAATTACAGATAAATAGCCCTCATTGCCACAGATGCAAAAATCTTAATAAATTTTAGGAAATAAAATACAACAATATATAAAAAGTATAGTGCATCATGACTAAGTAAGGTTTATACACAAAAATGCAAGGTTGGTTTAATATTTTAAAATTAATCAATGTGATTCACCATTTTTACATCTAAGCAGATAATTTAACAACTAGATCAGAGGCAAAAACATAGCCAAACTTAATATTCATTCTTGATTAAAACTCTCAAAACCTAGAAATAGAAGGCACTTCCTCAACCTAATAAAGAGTAGCTATAAAAAATCTATATCTAGCTGTGAAAGAATGTTTTTTTCCCTAAGATCAGGAATAAAGCAAGAATATCCACTCTCATACCTTCTGGTCAACACTGTACCAGAGGTTTAGTTAATGTAACAAGAAAAAATAGGAATAAAAATCATTCAGCTGGGGAAAGTAGAAGAAAAGTTGTCTTTGTTTGCAAACAACATGACAATTTATACAGAAAAGCTGATGGAATCTACAGAAGACCTAGTATAATTATCAAGTAAGCTTAGGAAAATTTCAGGATACAAGGTTATAGGAGAGAGATACAAAAATAAATGTACATCATTTTACAGCAACAAAGAAAAATTGAAACAAAAATGTCATTTACAATAGCATCAAAGCATGTAAAATACATAGAGATCAATTTAACAAAAGGCACACAAGTCTTGTACATTGAAAAGCTTAAAAGAAGATCTAAATAAATAGATATAACATGTTTATGGATTAGAAGGCTTGATATTATTAAGATGTCAATTCTCCCCAAGATGATAGACAGATTGATTGCAATGCTATTAAAATCTCAGGAAGCATTTTTGTTTTTGTTGTTCTTGTCACAGAAGTTGACAAGCCAATTCTAAATGTTTTATGGAAATACAAAAGATCTACAGTAGCCAAAACAACGTTCCTGTAGCCAAGAGAACAAAGTTGTGGAATCTCATGACTTTATTTCAAGATTTCTTATAAAGCTGTAGTAATCAAGGCATATGGTATTGGCCTAATTATAGACAAATAAATAATTGCAACAGATAAAAGCGTTCTGAAATATAATATTCGAAACTTATGTGGCCAATTGGTTTTGACAAAGATGCCAACATAATTCAATGGTGAAAGAATATTTTCAAAAAATGACATTGCATCAATAGTATATATAGCCATATCCACAAAAATGAACCTGGATCCTAATCTCATACTCTATACATATATACACTCAAAAAGGATGATAGATGTAAATGTAAAGTTTAAACTACAAAATTAGAAGAAAACATAGGAAAAAATCTTAGTGCCATGGATTTGGCAAAGATTTCTTAACTAAAATATAAAAGCTACAAACTAGAAAATATTTCAAAATCAATAAAATGGACTTTATCTATCAACATTAACATTTGCTCTTCAAAGACACCATTATGAAAATCAAAAGGCAAGATACAGTCTGAAAAAATTGCAAAATATGTATTCAACAATGGACTTGTATCTTTAATTTATAAGAATGACTTCTCAATAATAAGATAAGCAAACCAATTTAAATGTGAGCAAAACATAGTTGAATAGACACTTCCCCAAAGATATCTGGATGACAAATAAGTACCTAAAAAGATACCCAACATTGTTCATTATTATTAAATTGCAAATTAAATTATAATGAGATATATGGCACCCCCGCTAGAATAGGTGAGATTAAAGACTTACCATACCAAATGTGAAAAGGATGTGAACAACTAGAACTCTCATGTACTTCTGATGGAAAGGTAAAATTATATAGCCATTTCCAATAGTAGCTTCACAGAAAATTAAAAATATACCTACTTTATGATCTCGCCATTCCATTACCAACAACTATTGAAAGTTCAATTTCACTGGGTACCCAATGTTCATAGAAACTTTATTTTTAATAGCCCCCCAAACTGGAAATAACCCAAGGATCCATCAACAGGTAAATGGATAATCAAATTATTACATTTCTATATAATGAAATAGTACTCAGCAGTAAAAAGAAATGAACTATTGATAGAAACTACAATATGGAAGAATATCAGAATAAATATGCTGAGTGCAATAAATCAGACAGCAAACAGGGTACATGTTGTATAATTCCACTTATTCAAAATTCTAGACAATGGAAACTATAATAACATAAAACATGTATGTAGATACCTGGGGACAGGAGTAGGGACTGATAGGAGAGATTACAAATTGATGTGGGGAAACTTTTGGGAGTTACAGACATGTTAATCGTCTCAATTACAGTGGTGGTTTCACTGGTGAATACTTATGTCAAAAATGTATCTAGTGATACATTATAAACAGGTGGCTTATCTTATGTCAACTATAGCTGCAAAAATATTAATCCTAGGGTACAAAAGAATACAAAGAATATGCAAAGAATATGTCGAATATGCAGAATATAAAATAATACATAGCTTTTTATCTTTTAGTCTTCTTTTATGATTATACTCCCATAAACCATTCTCCATGTAGCAGGCAATATAAACCTTTTAATATATAAATTAAATCATATATATGCATGTATATGAATGAATATGTGTGTATATTCTATTTTTACTGTGTTATTAGGTTCCTATTTGACTTATAATACCTAAAATTCTTAGTATGGTCTGAAAGACCTGCCTGATATGACACTGCTCACCCATATCAACCACTCTCCTTTTTTTCTGTTATGTCTACCATTTCAGTCCTTAGAGTCTTGAAACATGCTGTTTGCTTTATTCTTCTGCTGGCTTTTTTTTTTTGAGGCAGAGTCCTGCTCTGTCACCAGCCTGGAGTGCAGTGGTATGGTCTCAGCTCACTGCAACATCCCTGTCTTGGGTTCAAGCGATTTTCCTGCCTCAGCCTCCCGAGCAGCTGGGACTACAGGTGCGTGCCACCATGCCCAGCTAATTTTTGTGTTTTTAGTAGAGACCGGGTTTCACAATCTTGGCCAGGCTAGTCTCGATCTCTTGACCTTGTGATCCACCCACCTTGGCCTTCCAAAGTGCTGGGATTACAGGCGCGAGCCAATGCTCCACGCCTTCTGCTTGTCTTTTAAAGGACCACTCCACTTTTTTTTTTTTTTTTTAAATCTCAAATTAAATGTCACTAGTTCAAAGAGCCTTGCACTATCAAAAAGCCTTGCACAGTAAGCTCCACTGATTCAGGGGACCATATTCTTCATTAATTTACTCATTTGGCTCATCATTATCTCCTCAGCACCTAGTGCAGCAATTCCCACATCATTGACACTTCAGACTTGTTACTTGAATTAACAAATGCATATTTCTGTCTTTACAGAATTGTTCATGTTACATCAATTCTCACCCCAGAGTGTTCTTAAGGCTTAGAATCTGTCCATGTTGATATCAGGTACTCCTAGGCTTAAACACATCCTCCTTTCGTGAGTTGACCATCTGCTTCTGACCCCACCCACATCCAAACTCTGTACCCAGCTTCTCCATTTGGAGCTGCTATGGTTTCAATATGTTCCTCAAAGTTCCTGTGTTGGAAATTGAATAGTCATTGTAACAGTACTAAGAAGTGGGGCCTTTATGAGGTGATTAGGCAATGAAGGCTCCACTCATGAAGGGATTAATACTGTTATCATGAGAGTAAACTAGTTATCACAGGAGGGGGTTAGTTATCACAGGAGGGGGTTAGTTATCACAAGAGTGGGCTTCTGATAAGAGGATGAATTCAGCTCAATTTCCTCTCTCTGTCTCCTGAGCTCACTTGCCTTCCCCCTTCTGCCATAGAACTGCCCTCACCAGATGCTGGCGCTATGCTTTTGGACTTCCCAGCCTCCAGAAACATGAACCAAATAAATTTCTTTTTTCAAAATAAAGTACCCATTTTGTGGTATTCAGTTATAGGCTAAAACAGGGGACTTTTCATCCAACCTTGGTCTCCTCACTGTGATTCTGCACTCACAAAGTCCTTTTCACAGCACAAAGAACCATAAGGAAAATGGTGAAAGCACTTGTACCCTGGCCTCAGAGGATGAGCAGCATGATCAACTGATATGTAGGTATTCTGATTGTTTATCTCTGTGTTGGATTTGTGTGCTGTTCCAACCAACATACTCTAATGCTGACACTGGTATGCTGCCTGGTTTTATATTCTAGACTAGCTTCATTTGGTGCTGATGGCAATTCAAAGACAGAAAAGCAAGCTGAGGGGTGGCTCAGGTACACAAAATTCTTCATACCGTGACTTTCTGGGGTGCTCCCAAAATGCTGCAGAAGCTTCCAGGGTCAGCTGAAATTAGTCCATGGGGACTTGTGGTGTTTCTCTACCAGTAAAGGTACTTGCAGTACTTTATCATTAATAAGCAAATGGAAGCCTGATGAAACAAATCTGGATCAAAACCTACATGTAGAGAGCCCACATTCTAGGACCTATTTTCCTTTATTTCTTCTATTTTCTGAGACCATGCACTATATCCTCTCTTAAGATATGACCTCATGTTTTCTAATACTTTTTCCTGTGGAATTATGTTGGGAACAAATGTTTTCGAACATTTTCTCTCTTCTTAGGGTTTATTTTTGTTTTTAATGCATTTATTTGGGCTGGCATAATAGAAAACAGAAAGTAAACCTAAAAAATATCACATTGTCTACATTTCTTAGTAAGTCGAGAGGGGCAATCATGTGCCCCAGCAGGCTTGGGTTGACATTTTAAAGTTGGAAAGATTCAAATTGAAGGGATAAAACATGTATTATTAAGACCTGTTTAGGCATATCATCATCTTAAAAAATGTCATCCTTTCCACCCCCACATTTGCAAGTTCATTAAATTTTCCAGTTGAACTTGGAAACAAATAAATATTTGTGCCAACTCTTAAGAATTCCATTTTACTTAATTGTCAGTTCATGACTGAAATGGAATAAGCATGACTTGCGTATAATAATCTGTCTACCCTGCTTCTGCAAATAAAAAGAATTATAAAAATTATGGAGAATAATGCCCACTAAAACAAACAAAAACATAAGACTGCACTCACAAAAATGAATTATTTCCACATAACATTTATGCAGTATGTTTTTTGTTTTGTTTTGTTTTTTACTTGAAGCTAGTCAAATGTAGCCTGGGGACATGCAAAAATAAAAAAAGGTTCTGAGTTTAAATCAAGAGTGAAATTAAAACTACAAAGACTACAAGTGAATTTATAGACCCAGGTGTAGCTACAATGATGGTATATTATCAGTGCATTTGATTCATAGGGTATTATGCGAGAACCAGCATAAATCAAGGGGCTGAGAGTCTGGTAATTTTGGATTTGACTTTAATTTTGGTCACTTTTAAAATGAGTGACTGCAAGTATGCTACTTTACCTTTATAAACTTCAATTTCCTCCCTACATAAAGGCAATATCAAGTATGTTTATAATGAGAATGATATCAAGTAAGGTTTCTTAAGCATATAGCACATAGTAATTCGATAAATTCTGGTTTTTCATCTTTCTATATTTTAAAATTTTTCCCCCCTGTGTGATGGCTAATTTTAGGTGTCAACTTGACTGGAACATGGAATACCTAGAAACCTAATAAAGCATTATTTTGGGGTATGTCTGTGTAGATGTTTTCAGAGGACATTAGCATGTTCATCTAAGTGGACTAGATGGGGAAAATCTGACTTCAATATGGGCAGGCACCATCCCATCTTCTGGGATCCTGAAGAGAACAAAATGAGAGAAAATGCAAATATGTTGATCTATTTGTTGAACTGAGATATACTCCTCCTTTCCTGTTCTTGGACAAAAATTCCAGGTTCCCTGGCCTTTGGACCCTATAACTTAAATCAATGACCTTGGGTTCTCAAGCCTTTGGCCTCAGACTGAGAATCACATCATTGGCTTCCCTGGTTCTGAGGCCTTTGAACTTGGATTGAGCCATGCCACCAAGGGTGGCCTGGCTAAGATCACCCCTTACCCTGAGCCAACTCCACTCAAGGAGCAGTGTGGTCCGTGGTTATGCATGCCTGACTTTTACCATCAGCTGCAACTGTTCTTATCCTCTTATTCATTGTCCTTACCAATAAAATAGAAAAACATTGCATACCTGCATGTTTAGGGATTAAACACATAAGCACGAACAAAGTGCCTAGAATAATACATGGCATATAAATGATGCACAAAACGCCAGTTTCTTTCCTTTTTCCGTTTTCTCTTGAAGCAGCATTAAGTCAAAAAGAACCTTTAAAATATTCTACTCCCATATGCAAAACTAGCCTTAGCCACAGGCAGTCAGTGACTTGCTAACTCTGGAGAAGTCTGTGTCCAGAAACTGGTATTTAAGGAATTTATTTTTATGTCTTTTTTTTTTAACTCATTTTTTTTAACTTGTACTTTCACTCTTGGTAACTATATTTCTCAATTGTGGTTTTGAATTTCCTGCCCAGAAATTTTGAGGGATGTAATACAAGCAGACCTCTTTGGGGAATGGGCTCTGTCTTTCACACTCTCCCTCACAGATAAACAAATAGGAAGTGTGTAGTATTTCTTCCATTTTCTTGGTAAAGACAATGGATAAGAGGATAAGAGCAGTTACAGCTGGTGGTGAAACAGACGCATGCAACAACCATGCATTCTGCTCCTGGAGTGAGATGAGTCCTGGAGTGAGATGAGTCCAGGGCAAGGGCAAGGGCAAGGCTCAGGCCAGGCTGCCTGCCAAAAAGATTCTCTCCACTGTTCTAATGCTGGGTTCTGAAATTTCACCATAATGTTACTTTCTCTAGTTTCATACTCTCCCTCACTTCTCCCTTTAAGAAAAATAAATTGTGCTCTTTGTCCTTGGAGACACAGAATCCTTGGAACACTTATTGGCTAGCATGATATCTACTTAACTGGGCAGCCATAGTTCAGATCCAGATGTGTAACACAGCCTTATGGTAATTCTTTTGGAAACTGCAACAGTATAAAATTCTCAAAGTCTCTCCATAGAAACTTGTTAAGCTGTACTACGTAGAAAAAAGAATGCTACCGAAAGAAAATCACAGTCATAGTTCTTGTTACACTATTTCCCCAGAGAGATCTCTGTATGGAGGACAGAGGTGTGGGAGACCATGATACAGCATGATCTCCTACATGTGTGAGGGAACAGGAACTGTTCTAAATGGCACCTCCATATCCCCTCCAGGTATAGGGACCTAGGATTCTAGTGCTTCTTGAGAACATTTCCTTTGTACCACCATTTTTAGGGTGGCCTAAAAGACACTGAGCTCAACTATGATGTCCATAAATGTGCTGATCTTCAAGTAGTGTGAGGTTGAAGCACACACACACACACACACACACACACACAAACCTATATGTCATATAAGTAAGCAAAAGTTTCACCTGGAAACCCGCATACTCAAGATATGCAAATCAGATCCTATGTGTTGCCACTAGGTATCAAAATGAAGCATGATTACTCTTATAGTCATTCTAAAAATCAACCAACTATACCTCAGAGGCTCCTTTCTATCCAAGTATTCATTATCTGAGGCCCTGAAGTTAAGAGTCTACATAGAGAAGCAAAAGTCATCATAATACAACAATATTCAATAACGAACCCACTATTTATGAAATGAGTCTTCACTCCAGCATTTCTCCCTGCCTAATTCTAGTATTTATTTCTATCCATCAAACCAACCTCATCATCTGTGTAGGTCAGTCTCTCCCTAATGGTTGCACTCTGACTTTTTTGTCCTCATTTTAACTGGATTAAGTTTAAGTGCATTTAATCCAGCATTAATTATTGTTAGATAAAGCAGGTCTCCTGAATTTTATTTTTAAAAATCAACAAATGCTTGGGATAGATTAAAATATTAGGAGCTTATAAGCAGTTGCAAATGAACCTTGATCAGAAAAGAGAATGAAAAGGAGAATATTTAGAATGTTTAGAAATCAGGATATGCTTTTTTTAACTTGCAGATAAAAATGAACAAAGAGTTCAATGGCCTTATAAATGCCTTAAACAAGTATTTCATTTAGTTAAAAGAGAGCCTGAAGGCAAATAAAAGGAATCCTTACCATGAGATCAATGAGATCAAACATACACTGGCAGGGTGGGGCAGTTACAGAGGGTGGCACCCTGGCAGGGTGGGCATATAATAAGAATATCAGGAAGACAGAACCAGCTCCCTGAGCCTTGCTACAAGCAACCCTGAGAAAGCTGCCTGGGGGTGGGGGGCCTCCAGTCCCACCATCCAAGTGCAGAGAAGCTGAGATGACCAGGAGGTACTAAAAGGCTCCATGTCTTTTACACTGTGTTATTCAGGCTAGAAGCACCTTCCCTTTTTCTACTTGAAACTCCCACTGTTATGGATTGAATTTTGTCTTCCAAAAGATGTTGAAGTAATGACTCCAGTAGCTATATGCATATGACCTTATTTGAGTATAGCGTCTGCTATGGTCTGAATATTGGTGTGCCCCCAAAATGCATATGTTAGTACCTAATGCCCTATGGAATCATATTAAGAGGTGGGGCTTTTGGGAAGTGGGTAAGTCATGAGGGCTCCACCCTCACAGATAGGATTACTGCTCTTATAAAATAAACTCAAGGAAGCTCCCTGCCCCTTCTACCATGTGAGGGTACAACAAGAAGGCATCATTTATGAAGCAGAGACTGAGCTTTCACCAAACACCCAATTTACTGGCATCTTGACCCTGGTCTTCCCAGCCTCCAGAACTGACAAATAAATGCCTGTTGTTTATAAGCTATGCAGTGTAGGGTACTTTGTTATGCAGCCCAGATGGACTAAGAAAGGGTCTTTGAAGAGGATCAAGTTAAGATGAGGTCATGAAAATGGATCCTAATCCAATATTACTGTGTCCTTAGTAAAAGGAGAAATTTGGACACAGAGATAGACACATACACACATAGGGAGAACATCATCTAAAGATGAAGTCAGAGATTAGGGCAATGATTCTACAAGCTTAGGAACATCAAAGAGTGACAGCCAATTACCAGAAGCTAAGAAAGAGGCAAGAAAGAGTTACCCCTTCACAGCCCTCAGAAGAAACCAAGTCTGCTAATACCTCGATAAGAACTGGAAAACAAAAGAATTGTGTGAGCCACCAGTTTGTGGTGCTTTGTTACAGCAGCCCTAGCAAGTTAATCTGCCCACCGATCCCTAAAAGCTCAGAATAAATACTATTAAGCCTGAAAATTCTTCCCAAGCTTCCCTTCTGCATTCCTTTTGCACCTTTTCCATAACTGCATGGTCTTGTACCAAAAATGCACATACCCATTTCTCAAAAGCCCCTCAAGGACAAGGATATGATCTTTATTTCTGGATAGTTGTATGTGGCTAATGCTGGCTGTGCACTAGGGCCTCACTACAAAAGCCTCTGGTGAACTCAATAGCTTCTGAGCTGGATGTCTAAGGACATTTACCAGTGGTCTTCTGCTTGGTGGGGCAATAAAAAGAGGCAGCAATTTCTTGAGGTGGGGGAGGAGGTAGAAAGTTACATTTACCCTAGGGATTCATTTTCTTGCTCTTTGCAGTCAACTGCATAATACTACACTTAAAAAAACATTGAAAGGTGGGGCGCCGTGGCTCACACCCGTAATCTCAGCACTTCGGGAGGCCGAGGCGGGTGGATCACGAGGTCAGGAGATGGAGACCATCCTGGCTAACACGATGAAACCCCATCTCTACTAAAAATACGAAAAATTAGCAGGGCGTGGTGGTGGGCGCCTGTAGTCCCAGCTACTCGGAAGGCTGAGGCAGGAGAAAGGCGTGAACCCGGGAGGCGGAGCTTGCAGTGAGCAGATTGCACCACTGCACTCCAGCCTGGGTGACAGAGGGAGGCTCCGTCTCAAACAACAACAACAACAACAAAAAACCAATAACAACAACAACAAACAACAACAACAACAAAGGAAAAACTGAAATAATTACTTTATAATAATGTTGATACTCTATAGTTTATCTTATTTCTACGCAAAATGCTTTTAGATGTGCATTATCAGTTAAAGTTGATATTTAAGGGTAAATAACAGTTTAAATTCATAAACATCTGTATTCTCAGCCTGTCATTTTCCTTTCTTCCCCTGCACCCCCACCAAATATAAACCTTTCCTGTAATAACCGCTTATCTCCTCCCCTCCTTTCACAAACAGTGCATCTCTGGCTGACTATAGATAAGTGAATGTTATAAGACATATTTTGAAAAGAAAATGAAAAGCCCTGGGTCTTCTCATTAATATGTCTAATATGCACTGGCTTTCCAAGTGCTATTTCTTCCACAAATAAATTATAAGTAAAAAGCAACCTGCATCAAGTTATATCTACCAGTGAGTTTTCAATGCTAAGATAATCCCAGTCTGTGGTGTCCGAGTTCACTTTTAAAAGATCTGTTAACTCCATTTTTCCTGAACCTATAATAGCTGTCCCCCACTCCTTACCCTCAATTCTAGGTTTTATCACTTAGGATTCACTGTTCATTGGCAAAGTCACATTCTAGGAGCAAGACATGTGACTTGGAACAATAACATTTCATTTTCTTGACAACAGGGAGAATCTGACCCAGCGGTTTAAGGGAATCTTCTAGCTGTGACCTATTTAGATGGAGTAGGGATTCTAACCCACTAAAGACCGTTTAACTTTGCTTCACAGAACATTCAGGACCAAGGTAACACACAACCTTCTCCATATTGGTGTAATGGGGCTTCACTTCTCTCAGACAGATGAGGTGTAAGCTAAAGGAATCTAACTCCTTTACCACAGGTATTGGCAGTGATCCTGGAAGATCTACAAACATAATCAGCAAAGTCAGCTCTTTGCATAGGTGCGCAGGCTGAGAGCCCTGTGGCTATTTGACTTCCCAGGCTTAAGTTGTAACTATCCCATCAGGAGCTGTCTCGAGTCAGGTGGATATCAGACTGCATAGAGCAGGCATATGGACTCCAGGCAGGGGTTCTCTCCTCTGGCTATACATTAGAAACACCTCGGGAGCTTCTCAAATACACCAACAACTGAACCCCAGCCCAGAGCAGATCTGAATTTCCAGCACTAGGAAGCTAGATCTGTGTACGTTCAAATCTACCTAAAGCGCTGAAGTTGAAAACCTCAGGTCTAGAAGTAGAGCATCCAGTCTGGACCAGCATGATCCAACAGAAATATAATGCAAGCCACATGTATAATTTCAGCTTCCAAAGCTTTCTAGTAGGCACCGTAGAAGCAATCCAATCAATCAATCAGTCAATCAAGGGAGAAATTCGCTTTAATTATACATTTTATTTGACCCAACATATATAAAATAGTATCACTTCAATACAGAATAGCTATAAAATATTAATGAAATATTTTATATTGTTTTGGCGCTAAGTCTTTGAAATCCAGTGGGGCTTTTTATATGAGACTTACCGTATATGAGACTTACAGCTCATTTCAGGCTAGCCATGTTTCAAGTGTTCAACTGTGCTGATTTTACCCTAAAACTGCCTCCTTACAGATTCTAAGTTTGGTCTAATGGTTTCTCTGTACATAGTGAATTTTAACCTAACAATATGCCCAAATAGACTGTAACCTACTCCTGTACCAATCACTGAGTTTCAGCTAATCACAGTCAGTCAACTGTTCAAACTGTGTTCAAATGAATGCCGAGTTACTATAACCAGCTGTTTCTGTACCTCACTTCTGTTTTCTGTAGGCCACTTTCCCTTCTCCCATAAATTCCCTGCTTCCGTAAATTCTCTTACACCTTCCGGCAGTGCCAAAGTCACTCTGAATGTAATTTGGTGCAGAGGGCTACCCCTTCACAAATTGCTCTATTAAAGTCTGTTAAATTTAACTTTTCTCCAGTTTTTCTTTTAATGACCATCACATGTTTGTGGCTACCACGTTGAATAGTGCAGACTGATAGTCGGAAAGCACAGATCTGTTCCCAGGGTCTCGCTCTATTTACCTGACTTTCGGCAATTTTATTTAACCTGTCTATGACTCAGTTTTTGATGTGAAATGTGGTGATGATCATAATATCTGCCTACTGGGTCACTGGAAGATTAAATGAGATGCTTTGTACCATGCATTTACTGAGCACAGTGTCTGGCTCACTTCCAGTGTTAATAAAATATAATTGGTTTCTACTATATTATTACCATTATTTTAATATATCATAGAACCCATTGTAAAAACTGAATTTGAGAGGTAACATGTAAACTATTTGAAAACAATTTCCAATTCCTCAAGTGCATAAGAAAAATGAAGAATTAAAAGAGTGTTGTAGTCAAACTCATTAGTTTCAGGTACAGAGTCATACTGATGCTCCACGAATCATAATAATGATAGTCACAGCAATAATAAATATATAATCTCTTTTATAAATATCAGTGCTGATAATATTCAACTTAATTCATTTTAACTTGATTTTTCAAAGATTTATCTTAAGGATATATGTAAACTACAGATGGAAATCCAATAGCATGGCTCACCCCTCTTCTTGGAGATTTTGTTATCCCTGCCCCTCCACTGCCTGCTTTGTAACCTACTCCTATGTTTAACAGTTGTCTTCCTCTACTTGCTCATAGTGTCTTTTTAATTTTTTTAAATATATTTACTTATTTTTAAATTGACATATGAAATTATATGTGTTTATTGTGTACAATGTTTTGAAGTATATATACATTGTGGAATGGTTAAATCGAGCTGATTAACAAACACATTACCTCACATGGTTATCATTTTTGTGGGGAAAAGACTGAATATACACTCTATGGGCATTTTTCAACAATACAAAATATCATCATTGACTATAGCTGCCCTGCTGCACAATAGGTCTCTTGAACTTATTCCTTCTATCCAACTGCAGATATGTATTATTTGACCAACATCTCCCCGACCCCATCTTCCCCCTAAACCCTATGGCCTCTCATAACCATCATTCTATTCTCAATTTCCATGAGAACAGCTTTTTTTAGATTCCATATATCATGTGGTATTTGTCTTGCTTTGCCTGGCTTATTTTACTTAATAATGTCTTCAGTTTCACCCATGCTCATGGTTTCTAGTTCCCCTGGAATCTGACTTGCACATGGTCTTGCTGAACCACATCTCTTACTTCACCTAAGAATATCCTTTCATTACTGTCCATGTTGTGAAACATCACAATCTTTTATTTTTTCAAAATTCAAATTCCTGCCCTTTACAATAAACTTTAAAGGTTAATACATAACAAAAATGCATAATTCATAAATTTACACTGTGAGAAAATTTTACAAAATGAACACACATAGGTACTCAATGCTCAGACCAAGAAATGGAATATGATCCATACCCCTGTATACACTGCTTCCTAATTACTAGCCACCTTCTCTACCCATGTAACTATTAAACTGACATCTAATACCAAAAGCTAGTTGTATCTATTTTTGATCTTTATGTAAATAGAATCATACCATATGTTCTTTATATGTCTAGATTTTTTTTTTTTGCTCAGTATTATGTTATAAGATTCAATATGTTGTTGCAGGTAGCTATGGCTCATTTATCATTGTTTCTATTAAAAATAAAAAAAAATTATCCAGGCGTGGTGGCACGCACCTGTAGTCCCAGCTACATGGGAGGTTGAGACAGGAGAATCGCTTGAACCCAGGAGGCAGAGGTTTCAGTTAGCTGAGATCGCGCCACTGCACTCTGCACTCCAGCCTGGGTGACAGAGCGAGACTCCGTTTAAAAAAAAAGAGAAAAATAATAACATAGAATTACTGTTATCATTTTTTGCTATTATAAATAATAGATTACCTGTTTTCTAAAACTTGTAATAAGTCATGGGCGTTGTTTATGTTAGTGCTCATAGGTCTATCTCATCCTTTTAAGTGGCTGCAGAATATTCTGTCATATGGTAAAGTCATATGGACATTTATTTTATTTCTACTATTGCCTAACTATAATCACTGTTGAGATAAAGAGCCTTGTGTACTTGTGGTAAGTACATTTTAAATAGAATACTGATCATCTGTAAGGTGTGTGGAAAAGACAACAAAGAAAGAAAGAAGAAATCATATGAAAGAAATGAAATAAAATGCCTCTGAGTAACTAGGAGTTCTAGAGACGATCTCGTTCTTCCCCATTCTGATATTTGGCATTTCTCAGACTAACAGCTCTCCCAATCTTGACCTTGTACAAATCTTGTTGATAAACCTTACCTATACAAAAAGTGCAAGTCAGCATTCTCCAGCAAAGAAGAGGTCTAACTGGCAAATATATTGATGTATTCAGTGACAGAGATTACCCCCAGGTATCCTTAATTCACAGATATGAATGGAAAATCCTGATTCACCAGGTCTTTGAAGAAAATCTTAGTGATAAGTTCCCAGAGTAAGGCATGAAGTGTTTATATAAATAGGCCTCTAGGATGGACCTTAAAAGTATCCATAAAAAAAATATTGGCCTGTTTTACAAACCCACGGTATGGTGATTTCCAGCATTTAATGTTGGACATTGTGGTCCACTGAAAAGTTTGTAAGTGCTAAGTTCAGAAAGATTTGAGTCAAGTGATACTTTTGACATTTAAAAATTGTGCGCCTTTTAAGCCTCATCTCTTTTACCTAAACAGAGGGCAGGAGGAGTTAATTACTGATACACAATAATTATATACTGCAGTTATCCATTTCCTTACCAGATAAGTTAGGATGCTAGATGAGAAACAAGTTGTCATCCAGCAGTGAGAGCAATTTGGTTCCTACTCTGTAGTGACACCAACAGGCGTTTGGTGATAAGTGTGCCTCAGCAGCCAGTGCTCTACAGGATCTAAGGATGATGGACTTAGTACCCAGAGATAAGAACAATCATAGTTCAAGAGAGGCAGAAGCAATAGAGGTGTCTGCTACTCCAATAATTAGTAAAAGCAGCAAATCTCTGGAAGATAAATGCAGAAGCAAGACAATCCATACATGACCCACAAGGTGATTGGAGGATACGGTTACAGCTGAACTGAATAGAATTTTAAGGTCTCTGGGGACTTCTCAAGTCTCTACTGTGTCTATGTAGACAACCTCCAATTATAAAAAGTATGTAGAGTATTTAAGTTTACTTTATGTCCTAACCGCATTATGGCAATAGTTCTTGTGACAGCAATTGTACCCAGACAGCTGTAGAGATTGCTGTTTTTTCTACATGCCCATTCATGTTTAGAGAAAAGTGAATCTCTTTTGGCATCATAAGCTGCATTAAGTCTATCTTTTATTTTGTATTTCTGATTCTTTGATATCTGGTTCTTCCTGACCCTGAAGGAATTTCCCCTCTCAGGACTAACCAGTTCCTAGAGATAGAAAATAAATTGCCCGAGCACACACTTTTCAAATAAAAACCAACCCAATCCAGAGCCCAGACCCCCATTTACCTCCTTTTTTGGGATTCCATACTCAAGACCATTATCTTTTCAATGGCAATCATTTCATGATCAGTTGGCCTTACCACATCTCAAAATTTCTGTTAATACACTCTATTTTAGAACATGGGATATTGAAATAAGTATTTCAAAACGATCATATGCCATGCTAAAAATGTATTAATATTTAAAAATTTTGAAAATATATCTCCTTTCCAACACAAAAGAGGTGCTTAGATCAATCTTTCAATGCAACTCACAGGACTAAGTCATAAAGATTTCACCACTAATAGAATTAAAATGTAAGATTAGCATAACGTTACCATCTACATTTATTGGGTTCCCTGATGCATCTGACATTAGAAACTGTTCTAGGATTATACTTTGGCTATAAAGACGAATGAGGCACAATTACACAACTTCTGCAATCTAGCTGGCGAATGGACACAAAATAAATAGGAAATAGTGTGGTAGGTGTTAATGAACTACGAGCAAATTGGAATTCAAATATAATGGGGTAGGATAGAGGATAATTTGCCCATACCTGAGACTTGGGAAGTGACAAAGAAGGCCTCAGAGAAGACATTAGGAACAGTTGCCTGAGTGGTTGTGCAGCAGAGGTACAACCATACTTCTTTCTACTTGTGACAATGACTTAGGGCAATGTAAGAAACCCAGCTTATGCCACATGCTTACTTCCCAAGATCCAGATGCAAATAAATAAATAAATAAATAAATAAAAGCCACAGTCCTACTCACTCTGTCAACACAAGTTGACTGTCGGATGAGATTCCCAGGAACTGGAGAGAAATGCCTCTACTGCTGCCTGGACTACAGGGTTGTGAAGGCTCCTATGCTGCTCAGCTTTCAAGGAGCTCAAAATCTGAGAAAATTTGCTGCTTCCATATGTGAGTTAGCTAAGAATCTTTTTTCACTTGAATCATGACTCATTTAAAGATTTCTGGAAGAAGAATAAAGAGGGAGAGAAGAAGGGAAAGAAGAGAAGAGAAGAAAGGCGAGTGAAGAACAGATTGGAAAAGGAGAGTTAGAAAGGAAGGGAGAAGATAAGACTGGATATCAAGGGGAAAGGAGGAGAAGGGAGAGGAGGAAGAAACCGTCATTTACTGCCTGTGTGTCTTCATCCTGGATCACCCTATTTGCTGATGACCACAAGGTCTCTGACGAGTGACCTTCCTCCTCTTTAGAAGATTGAAATGTAACAGAGCTGCACTTCTCTCATTTAGAGAATGTGATTTGTTCAGTTTGTGTAAAAAGCCATGCAGGGCAGGGATCTCAGGGAGTGCCAGACGCTCCACTGTGAGCTTGCAGGAGAGAAGCAGTCAGTGTTTCCGGAATCATCTGATCCTGCTGAGTTGGATGCTGGCCACAGAGAGCCCCAGTCAGAGGTGGAAAGATCCAACATGTTCTTTATGCCATCCACATACACTACTAGCTCAGGGTGGTGGCAAACCCAGCTATCAAGTCTGCATACTCAAATTGGTACCTTACCAATGCCCAAATTAAGAGAACATTCAATTAAAGAGCCCAATAACTTCTAGCATAACATTATGACATCCGAACAATTGTTAACATATCTTGCTTGAATTTATGGAAAGAATAAAAACAGGTGACATCTCAATCACCCTAAATTGAATTTACTCAATTTGTATTGTTGCTGTTAGAGACATTAATGAAGGTGAGGGTAATGTGAACTATGGTGTGTAGCGGTGAGGTCAGAATTGCAAAGTAAGAAGGCTGTCCTACGGAATCCTAAATTTCAAACAGCCGCCATAGAGAGGAAAACAAAGTACTGGCCACAGAATGAAACCTGTCGGAAAGCAGGTGAAGGAATGGAGAGAAGGAGATGGAACTTGGAGTGCTGCTGCAGAAGATTTGGGGATGCTGCACAAGATCCCTGTGGTCCTTCCCATGGGCAGGTGGGAGCTAAGACTGTAAACTGTTCAAGGCAAATATCCAGGGATGATCCTATAGGCCAGATAAGGTAGAAGAATTTTATCTTCATTTCACAAATGAAGAAACAAAAGCTCAAAGAGGCTAAACGATGTATGAGGAAAATACCTGGGACTCAAACACATGCTGTAACTCCAGATTGCCATAAATGTTTGCTCTTTTCCTAATCTTTTCCCCACACCTGAGGAAGCTGAAAGGGATATCATTCATCCTCCCTCTTGCACTCAGACGGCAGACTGCAGGAGACTCCCGTGCAAACCAAAACTGAGCAAAACTAGAAACATAAACACAGAAAGTGTTTTATTAAAAAACAACAACAAAGCAAAACAAAAAAGCCCTAACAATAACCTTGGCCCTCAAGGACCTCAAAATCCAATAGAAGAGTCAATGAAGGTTTCAAAATGCAATGAACGAAGTTTCAGGAGAGAAATGAAAACTAGAAGGAGAAGTGAGGATATAGGAATTTCCACTATTGAATATTTAATAATTCTGTGGCAGGTACTCTGAGGAACATATAATTAACTTCTTTGTGCTCTTTTCTGAGGTCTGAAGATCCCAAGACAGCTTCCCAAGGTTATATACTCAGAAGGTGAAAGGTAGAGGCAAGATTCCAACCCAAATTGTGTCTGGCTCCAAAGTTCAAGCATGTCTTGCTTCATTACCTCCTTCATTAACATTTATTTAACCTTGAAGTCAGATGGAAAGTATCTCAAAAATAAATTTATTTTATCAATAAAGGATGGATGAATATGTAAATAAAGTTGGTAAGCTTTCTATTCCTGCTGATGGAGTAAATGGGTGATATGAAGGAAATTGGATCGGGCATGGCTCCCAAATTTCTAGTATAGACAAAAATTGGATAGTATTGGTACTGCAAGAGGGAGCAGAACAAAGCAGTTAGTGGAGGGGATGTGTGCAGTGGCTGCTTGTCCTTCATGCCCTGGGCCTGTCTTAACCTGTGAGTCTTTCTTTTTGCCATCGCCTCCTATACTCTGCTCCAGGCTCCTGTCAGTGCATCCTGCTGTCACTTCCAAATGACAGTACATTTTGTTCCTTCTGCCTGGAAAGGCCTCCCTGCTTCTCTCAATCCATCCACCAAACTATAAGCATGTCATTTAGACCTAAGATTTTCATGAAGAGGAAGTTTTCTGTCATCCCCCACCACCCACCACGAGTCCCATAGATGGGGTTCCCAGTATGAGCTTCTAGGAAAGCCAGTGAAAGTAACCTCCATTGGATCAAGTGTCACCTTGTGTTGCAATCACTCCACTCATTTTTTATCTTCACTTTGATCTGCAAGCACCTTGGCAGTTTTGCTGACTGTTTTGTTCCTATACCCTAAAAGAAAATATGGAAAAAACTATATAACATAAATGCACCCAGACTGAACTCTAAACTGGCACACACAATAGAGACATCTAAGAAATTAAGACCATGTGTTCCTGAACATCCAGACAATATACACAATCAAGTATCTTGGGGACCCAGTTAAGGCATATTATCCACCCTATTGCTGGGTTTGTTCACATCCGAAAAGGCACTCAAAAGTCATTAGACTGAGATCCCCTTGCAATTCTCAGTATCTCTGAAGTTTATCGTTATCCCTGAAGTGTCTCTGAAGACAGATAGTCCTGTTTATAAATTCTATTAATTAAATATCCCTTCTTAAATTCCACCACTATGCTAACCATAGTAGGTACGTCATAGCATAACATATTCTATGTCACAAATATTACCAGCTACACTGCAAATAAATTGCCACACAAGGGGAAACTGTGAATAAAAAACTGGTGTGCAGGTTCTAACAACAGTACTGAGGACATCTAAAGGACACTCCCATCTCTCTTCTTTCTTTTAATGCCTCGTGCTACTCACACATGTTATTACCTTGAGAAAAAGTTCACAAAGTGACACTCCTGGATGAACCCAACAATTATGAACGATCTAAAGCCACAGGGAAGCTCATGTACCTAAGGAAGAAATGGGCAGATATTCTGGATGCTCTATTGCCACTACAAGTTTAGGCAACCCAGCAGGGGGGTCTGCGAGAACTAAAAGCCCATCAAAATCCCTCTTTGTGTTGTATATTATAAAGATTCATTTTTTTTCTTTTTCCTTTTTTTTTTTTTTTGAGATGGAGTCTCGGTCTGTCTCCCAGGCTGGAGTGCAGTGGCACAATCTCGGCTCACTGCAACCTCTGCCTCCCACCTTCAAGCAATTCTCCTGCCTCAGCCACCATAGCTGTGATTACAGGTGCCAACCACCATGCCTGGCTAATTTTTGTATTTTTAGTAGACATGGGGTTTCACCACATTGGCTGGTATTGAACTCCTGACCTCAAGTGATCCTCTTGCCTCGGCCTCCCAAAGTGCTGGGATTACAGGGGTGAGCCACTGCACATTTCTGTTGGAATCAAATGCTACACTGATCAAGTGAACAAGTAGAAACCATCAGTCACCAAGGAAGACAAACTTGTTAAGAAAGAACAATTGCTGGAAGACTTAGTAGCTCATAGTTGGAATAAAATTTAACCAGTAAACACGTCCGCAGGCACTGTTTGCAGATCCTCTGCTCGGAAAGATAAATCTTATACCTGGGGATTGTTTTAAAATTTGCTTTCTGAAAGGTAAAACGGTACTTGCATCCCTTAGGACATAGAAATGACAGCCTAGTTTTAGATAGAGTGGCTCAAAGCACAACTTCATTTTAGGAGAGAACAACAGAGTTAAGACAGTTGTCAAAGCAGAAGATATTTCATGTTTCATACCATTCCTCCACCCCTACCATTAGCATGTGAGCATCTTACAGGGTTGGCAGAAGAGGACATTATAATTCGGATTCAGCAAATGTCTGTACCTAAGCAGATATGTGTGCTTTGTGTGATGAGAGTGCCATTCTCACCATTTCTAGGATAAAACGATCCATTTTAGAATACTAGAAATTTCTCCCAAATGCATGCATTTGTTGATGATTCTGAGACATTGGTTCTCCTATAGATAGTTCATGTTTTTCCTCCACTTAACAGACCATGAGTGTCTTGACAACAGTGGGACTCCCATGCAATTCGGTGAAATCCAGCCTTCTCAGATTAGTGAGCTATGCAATATAGGCAACAAAGGAACACAGATGTACAAAATGGGTATGGAGTGTGAGGGGGTGTGAGCACAGCATGGGTACACATGCACTGGGAAAGATCAGGCTCCACAGATTACAGCCCAGGGGCCAAACACAGCTGCTTTTGTAAATAAAGTTTTATTGGAGTACAGCCACATCTATTTGTTTGTATTGTCTATGGTTGCTTTTGTACTACAATAGCAGACTTGAGTAAAAGTCAACAAAGCCTAGATATTTACTCTTTGAACAAGTTTGAGATTTACTTTTAAAAAAAAAAAAACCTGCTGATCCCTGAAATAGATAAAAATAAATGGTGTTGGGAGAACTGGCTAGCCATATGCAGAAAAACTGAAACTGGACCCCTTCATTACACCTTATACAAAAATTAACTCAAGATGGATTAAAGACTTAAACTTAAGACCTAAAACTATAAAAACCCTAGAAGAAAACCTAGGCAATACCATCCAGGACATAGGCATGGGCAAAGACTTCATGACTAAAACACCAAAAGCAATGGCAGCAAAAGCCAAAATTGACAAATGGGATCTAACTAAACTAAAGAGCTTCTGCACAGCAAAATAAACTATCATCAGAGTGAACAGGCAACCTATAGAATGGGAAAAAATTTTTGCAATCTATCCATCTGACAAAGCACTAATATGCAGAATCTACAAATAACTTAAACAAATTTACAAGAAAAAAAAACCCATCAAAAAGTAGGCAAAGGATATGAACAGACACTCCTCAACAGAAGACATTTATATAGCCAGCAAACATATGAAAAAAAGCTCATCATCACTGGTCATTAGAGAAATGCAAATCAAAACTGCAATGAGATACAATCTCATACCAGTTAGAATGGCAATCATTAAAAAGTTAGGAAACAACAGATGCTGGAGAGGATATGGAGACACAGGAATGCTTTTACACTGTTGGTGGGAGTATAAATTAGTTCAACCATTGTGGATGACAGTGTGGTGATTCCTCAAGGATCTAGAAACAGAAATACCATTTGACCCAACCATCCCAGTACTGGGTATATAGCCAAAGGATTATAAATCACTCTACTATAAAGACACACGCACACGTATGTTTATTGCAGCACTGTTCACAATAGCAAAGACTTGGAACAAACCCAAATGCTCATCAATGATAGACTGCATAAAGAAAATGTGGCACATATACACTGTGGAATACTATGCAGCCATATGAAAGGATGAGTTCATGTCCTTTGCAGGGACATGGATGAAGCTGGAAACCATCATTCTCAGCAAACTAATACAGGAACAGAAAACCAAACAGCACATGCTCTCACTCATAAGTGGGAGTTGAACAATGAGAACACATGGACACAGGAAGGGGAACATCACACACCAGGGCCTGTCAGGGGGTGGGGGCCAGGGGAGGGATAGCATTAGGAGAAATAATGATGACAGGTTGATAGGTGCAGCAAACCACCATAGCCCGTGTATACCTATGTAACAAACCTGCATGTTCTACACATGTATCCCAGAACTTAAAGTAAAATAAAAAAATACATTCCATAAATAAAAATTATTTTGTCAGGGGATGTATAATAAAAATTTAAATAATGTCTCAAACTAATTTTTAAGTATTTTTTTGAATTGCCACAAGAATAATGTTAGTTCCTTTATTGTGCTGGGTAAATAAAGAGACTGTCAGGCTATGGAAGCCACCACCCTTCAGCACCAGCAAGGAGACAAGGCCTCTGCGGCACCTATGATTAGAGCTCTGTGCTGGGGATTCAACTTCTAAAGCCTTGCAGTCCGTGTTGGGGGTCCCTGAGCAAGGACAGATGGGCAGTCCTTTGAGCACTTCAGGTGGAAAAGCTCTGCTCAAGTAGTGATGGTGCTGAGGAACTGAGCCAGGGAGAGCCCTTCCCAGAAAACTAAACTGGAGACCAGAAGGATAACAAAGGTCAGTTAGAATTGGGGGAATGACCCAAAGATAAAGAAAATAAAGACAAAGAGACACAGTGCAGTTGAGACATGTTCAATGGATGTCCAATCCAAAGGCAGATCTACTGAGGATTATTCACATTTCAGGAGACAAGAACTGTTTTTATTCTGCTAGAATCACACTTTAATATTGCCACAGACTCTGTGAGAGAGGCCAGGCCTCAAAGTTAGAAACTTGTTAATTTTAATTACTTATTTTGCTCTTATTGCATTAATCAATGTCCCTGAATTTTGTTTTGTTTGTTGTAATCAAATGAGCTTAACACACAGAGAATGAAATGGGAAGAAATTTCTGTCAGGAAGTAATTACCCGGCATTACAAATTGTATTCAGGACAAGATGGCTCACCCAGAGAGATATAAAGGAAAATGGAATGACTTAAGGATGTGATAGATACTTCTTGGATGCTCAAGTGACTATCACTTTTTAGAAAGTTTTTATTTATTTGGTCACCAGAATATTCCCTAAGATAATTGGAGCTTGTAGTCCTCAGCTATAAAGCTAAGTGGTGGAACTTCATCACAATATAGCACAGTTGTCCCTGGATATGCTTGGGGATTGATTCCAGGATCCCCTGTAGATACCAAACTTGAAGGCTACTAAAGTCTCTTATACAACAAGGTGTGTTATTTGCCTATAGCCTACACATATCCTCCTATATACTTTCAATCATTCCTGAATTACTTATAATACCTAATACAATGCCTACACATCACTTCATTAGCGTGGATTTGATATATTTGGCATATGGCAAATTCAAGTTTCGTTTTTTGGAACTTGGTGGAGTTTTCTTTTCCAAATATTTTCTATCCATAGTTGGTTGAATCCATGGATGCAGAACCCATGGATATGGAGGACCAACTGTACTTTGGAGCCAATACTGTGCTTGAAATGAGGTGGATAAATGGCTTTTAGCTAAACCTTTAAAACAATCTCTCCCTGAATGATCTGCCTGACTGCTCAAATCCCCTAAAATGCATGGCAGCCTGCCCTGCTTGCCTTGCCATCGCTAGTTGCATTAGCCTGGGCAGGCTGCAAAAGGGGGTGTAGGGCAAGCCTCTCTCTGGGAAAGACTAAGGCAATAGGTCATCTTTCCAGTTTAAGCTGCTAGTTCTACACACATGGAGTTGCAGATATATGTATTCTCACTGCTCTGACCAAGCAAAGAAAGAGTGACTTTTCATAATGACTCACAGGCTATAAATAACTGTACCTACCTCTCTCTGTCATCATCTATGTATAAACCCTACGTAGATTGATTAAAAAATAATAACCCTTGGCAAAGGAGTCTTCCAGTTTTTCTGCTACTGGGAATTAAGAAGACAGGAGTAGCATTAAAGCATGCTTGTCCCTATTCTGCGAGGCCATGCCTCTGTGAAAAGGCCTCACAGACAACAACAATAGCAATGACAACTACAACATGAATATTTATGGAGCACTTAAAATACAAAGCTCTTTATAGGTGCAAAGTCATTTAGTCCTTTCAACAGTGCTGGGACCATTATTAACCCCAGTTGCACTTGAGAAGATTAGGGCACAGAGAAACTAAAGTATAAGTTCAAGTTCAAGAAAAAGTAAATGGTCACAGGCAGTCTGGCTCCAGAGGCCATGCTTTCAACCACCACATGTCATTGTTGCATAGCTAGAAAAGAAACACTGTCTTCCTGTACTTCTGTAACAGAAAATCAAACCAATAGTGTTGGAGAGGGGATGTGGTAGAGTAAAAAAGGCCATCCTCCTTGGAGTCAGTTTAAAGACCAATTCTAATTTGTACTAAGTAAACTAACTTTGAGGAATTCTTTGTCTTCCCCTAGTCTCAGGGCCCTCATCTGTAAAATGGGGGTGCTTATGTCTTCTGTACAGGGTTTTCGTGGCATAAAAATATGATGGATACAAAGTTTTCAGCATTGTGTCTGGCATGTGATGAGTAATCACTCCAAAAAGTCATGCTTTTCTTCTTTCTTCCTGCTCTGGTGATCTGGAAAGTATCAAGTCTCTTTTATCCCTATAATTATAGGAGACTTTTACTCTTATGTAACATGGAAAAAGCAATTACATGGATTGGCTGAACTGCTAAACAGCCAAGAATCTTCTTTTGAAAAGCTGGGGTGTCCATGATATCAAAGAACAGCTTGTACCCATCAAAATGCAGAGGATCATTGTCATGAAGCTTACTCCTACCTTCCAAGCTGCTGTGAGTTACAGTGAAGAAGCTTGAAATATGTAAAATCTTAATTACACTACCAGGTAGCTTTGAATGCTACTGGTCTAGAAGAAGGAAGGGATATTCTATGCTGTGTCAACCTACAATCTTTAAAAGCTTTTTTTTTTTTTTAATGTGAGATATTTGATTTCAGTACATAGAAGACTTCGAAAATCAGATATGGGCAAAACCAAACAGATAATATCATTGGAATGTGTCTGATTTGCTTCCTCTTCTGCCTTATGGTAGACCCACTGAATCCCAACTTCCTACCCCTTCCTCATTACCACCGCACAAACTGATGAGCCAATTCTGATCATGGCTTGGGAATGAATTATAATGGGGTTTGTAGAGAGGCACAGGGTAGTGGAGCATTTAGGGATACTTAGGCGATTGATTCATTGAACATCAAGTCCGCATAGTAATAGTTCGGTTCTGGTCTTGGGCTCTGCCTCTGAGGTCTCAGTGACAAACTCCCAATGCTCCTTTTGGGTTCTGGAAACCTAGGTCCCTGCCTTGACATTTGTTTAGTGCTTTCTGCCTTCTAGTGGAAAGAAACTGGAATCTTGCCAACAATTTTCTCTCACCATCTCTTTCTACCTTTTTTTTTTTTTTTTTTTTTTTGAGACAGTCTCGCTATGTTGCCCAGGCTGGAGTACACTGGCATGATCTCGGCTCACTGCCTCCTGGCTTCAAGCAATTCTCGTGTCTCAGCCTCCTGAGTAGCTGGGATGACAGGTGCCTGCCACCATGCCCAGCTAATTTTTGTATTTTTTAGTAGAGATGGGGTTTCACCATGTTGGCCAGGCTGGTCTTGAACTCCTAACCTCAAGCAACCCGCCCACCTGACCTCTGTGCCCGGCCCTCTCTCTACCTTTAACAAGTGCACATATGCGTGCACACACACACACAGGTAGAAGGAGGAGGGGGGAAAGGAGAGAGATCTTAATGTTCCACGATTTTTTGTCTTTTAAGGCCTGTTTTAACCTACTTAAACAAGAAAAAAAAAGCTTTCCTAATGCTAATTGCCTGATGTTCTGGTTATACAAATATTTCCATTTCTTTCTCTCCTGTTTTTAATACATACATTTGTATATTTACCAAATCATTTATTTATTCATGCATTAATAATTCAGGTATTTACAATTATTGATTGAGCAACACTATGTTGTCAGGTATCAAGTCAGGCATTAGAGGTAACTCTAACATGAACAGACATACTTCTTGCTCTCGCAGATTTTTCCAAGCTAGTAGAGGGTGGAGACAATGTACTGAGTGCAATGTGGGAACCTATAATAAGTACATAATCCAGGCTTTGGAGACAGGATTTGGAAGGCAGGGAAAGATATTTGTAAGAGGTAATACCTCTGATGATCCTGAAAGGAGAGTAGAGATTAGGTGGAGGATGAAAGATGAAAGCTTAGTTGGTAAGTGGAGAGAGGAACAGTAGGATGTTTCAGACACAGCAAACAGCATCTGTAGAACCCACAGTGGGAAAGAGAGCATGTAATATTAAAGAAACTTAAAGTCATTCAGCATAGGAGTCATACAATGGGCATGGCTGGGAGATTGCAGGAAGTGGCATGATCATCTTTGTATTTTAGAATGGCTTTGTTCTGTGGAGAATGGATTGGAAGGGGATGACCTTTGGTCAATATTAGTAAGCTGTTACAGTAGCTTTATTGTTTATCACATTTCCCTGCCGAGTCAAATGGCATTGAATACTCTGAGAGATGTTTAGGAACATTGGAATCAACTGGATTTGGGGATTGCAAGTCAGATGAGAGAGAGGAGGAGGTGTCAAAGATGACTCATACGATTGCAATTTGGTCAATGGATGGATGGTGATGTCATTCATCAGGAATAGGGGGATGGGACAATATGGAAGGAGGATGATAATTTCAACTTGGCTATGTTGAGTTTGAGGTGCTAGTGAGACAACTGAATGTAAAAAAGAAGTAACATGCCCTCTGGTTGGCACACTCTCACTATGGAGACCTTTCAGGGTCTCCTGCTCCTCAATATCTGTTCAAAACACTAAATACTAAGTGGAACCACATGTTTCTATGATGGCATCCTCCAGACAACACATTCCATTTGCAAAGTTGAGTGTCCTCTATCATCCACAGGTGCATCTAAACCTCCAGCGTCTGTTTATCAAGATGAGGGTGGGTCCTAGAAGGACCATGATATACAGGACCTGTAACTCATTCACAGGTGAAACAAACCAGTTCACAAAATTGATCTGATGCAAGAACCTGCTCCTGAAAGACAGACATAGGTAAAGAAATAGCCTTATCCTAAAAGGCACCAAAAAAGTTGGAAGAATTGAAATATTGGATCAATTCAGATGGTTTGAATGGCTCTGCCATTTCAATGCCATTCTATACTCTCAGGAGAAATAGGAAGTAAAACTTAAACAGTAAAACCTCCACGGGGCTGCCCGATGAGGAGTAAAATAGTTCAGAAAGACAGTTTCAAAACTGAAATTGTAGTTCTGTTCAGTGCATAGGGCTTGGTTAAAAAATATGTACATATATATATATAGAATATTATACATCCTCTTCCGGTTCTCTTCCCCCCAGTCTCTATATATATAGAGAGGTGGCGGGTGGTGGGGGTGGAGAAGACAATGTATAAAAGCTTATCTTTTAATGAAAAAATAAATTAATGAGTTCATACACGATAACAATGATTTATATTTATACTGAAATCTATATAGTTTACAAAATACTTTAATGTCCATGAAATTATTTAAATCTTTAAATAAGAATCTCAAAAACAGTTGCTACTTTCCAGATCATTTGATCATTCCTTAATAGGAATTCCACACAAACCTACATCATCAGCATTCAAAATATACTTTTGCCTCAACAAAACCACATTCTCTAAAGCTGAAATAATTATGTTGGGATGCAAAGAAGATGAAAAGTGAGTATCTTCACACCTGACTTGGTTGAGTACTGGTTGTTGAATTTTCTCACATATTTATTTCTTATAAAATTCAGGAAATAGAAGAAGCACAGAATTATTTTCAAAACAAGTAAACTGATGAAATAAATAATGGTTTACATGTTTTCTCTTTATTCTATTTGTAGTGTTTAAATATTTTATTTTAGAATAGTTTTAGGCTCACAGAATTATTGTGAAGATAGTAGAGAAATTTCACTTATATTCCATACCAAGTTTCACCTATCAACATCTTACATTAGTACAGTACGTTCGTCACAATGAATGAATCAACACTGAAGCAATATTAACTAAAGTCTATACTTCATTCAGATTTCCTCAGTTTTTAAACAATGCTGTTTTTCTATTCAAATCCCTCATCTGGAATGCCACATCACATTTAATAGTTTCCTCAGGCTCTCCTTGTTTATGACAGTTTGTCAGACATTTCTTGTTTTTAATCACCTTGACACTTTTGAGAATTACTGGTTGGGTATTTTGTAGAATGTTCCTCAATCGGGACTTGGCTGATGATTTTCTCATGACTAGACTAGGGTAATTTATTTCTGAGAGAAAACCAGAGAAATAGAGTGCTATTATAATAGCATATCAATATGACTTATCACTGTTGATATTAACCTTGATCACCTTACTTGACATGTGCTTGTCAGGTTTCTCAATTGTAATGTTACTTTTTTTTTTTCTGTTTCCATACACTGCTCTCTGGAAGAAAAGTCACTATGTGTAGCCTACATTTAAGGAGTAAGAAGTTACGTTTCATCTCAATTATTTATGTAGATGGAGTAGCAAAATAAATTATTTGAAATTTTTCTGCATGAGAGATTTGTCTATTTTTCCCGTTTATTTACTTATGGAATCATTTTTTATACCAACATATGCACATGGATTTCCATTTAATACACTGGGTTACAGTCCAATCTAACTTTATTTTGTTGCTCAAATTGTTCCAGCTTTGAAAATTGGGAACTCTTCCAGTTGGCTTCTGAATATTATGACATGCCCATATCATTGTCATTTTTTTAGCATTTTTTATATTTCCTGGCAAGCTGCTCCAGCTCATCTTGTATATTCCCTGCTGTAGTCCTAGAATAAGCCACTTATTTTTTCAAGGGACCCTGGCTCCAGTAAAAATTGGAAAATAGTTTTAGAAACCAAGATCTGAGTTACAGGTGTGCTCATAGATACTGGGGTGTCGTTGCTTCTAGGCTCTCTCAACTGACAGGGCAAAGATCTGCATGTGAATATGCTATTCCATGTATATATGCATATCTATAAATGTTTCCATATGTAAACATTGATATATATGTCGATCTAAATAGGAGTTCATGCTGTTGTATCCAACTCTACTCCATTAATTACCACATGGATCATTCTAGTCTCCTCCCCTTACTCATCTCTAAACTCTCACTTCAACAAATCTGGCTTCCACCAACTACCATCAGTTTCTTAAAACATTCAATTATACTATATATGATATGATTTCAGAACTGTTAACCCATATCTCCATGGAAAATAAGTACTTTATCAACTAGAGTACAGTACTTTATCAACTAGAGTACAGTACTTACGTACAGTTCCTTCAGCCTCTAGTTTTTCAGAATTCATTTTCACAAACTCAGGTGTCTGGTGAGTCCAAGAAAAGTCCCTGAGTTTTAGTTTGTCCAACTTTTACATGTCATAAGTATGGGAATGACAACTTCTGATCTTCTTACATGTTGAATCAGAAACTGGAAATTTTTCTATTTTCATTTTCAAACATCTTTTATTTTTCTGTTCTAATCCATCTTTGGCTCTAGTTCCTATCTGTGCTTTTTTTTTTCATTCTCACTATCATAAGACAGTAATTTGAGAAATTTTTGTTTTCATTTGGTCATCTCTAAAATTCTTCAGAAGTCATGTTCTTTTCCAGCTGAGCAAATTTTTACACGATTCTCAAGTGGTGAAAGGGCAGTCACGTGAATAGCATGGATATTGATACAAATTATGGTATTCTTCACTTTGTGTAAAGTTGCAGAGATTTTACTCCAAGTCTTTCTGATCTACATTTGTGTTAGCCAAGAAATGCATTGATGACTTTCCTTTCCTACATGTGTACTTAATAAGGATTTCATAATGGCTTGTGGTTCCAGACACTGTTTTTTCCTAGGGATCATCTGAAAAAATATTTTAAGGTTGGGAAAGGCAAAATATTTTAAAGTAGCTGAGAGTCTTAAAAGGTTTATTCATGCATAGTGGAAGATCAGTGGTTGTGCCTGGGATGCATAGACTCTATCATCACTCCCATGTGTTCAGAGTACCTTTTATTCCCTATAATCGCTGGTTGCTTATTTCACTCTAGTGTCATTTAATTTTAAATTTCAGAAAAACATTAATAGGTAGTTAGCAGGCCAGACTAGAAGTAGGCTTAAGGAGAAACTGCTTTGCTCTCTTGGAGCATATCTCCGTCAATTGCCAGTCTAGATGTATACTGCAGAAGGGTGCACACGTATGTACAATGCTAAATGTATATAACCTAGGTCAGAAAGACAGTGGTAGGTTCTCATCTCAATTATGCAACTTTCTCATTCTAAAGTTGATGCTGCTTTGAGAAAATGGAGATGACTTTTTCATTTATTACTTGTAATAGGAACACACACACATACACACACACACACACACACACACACACACACACACACTCCACCCCTATTCAGCTTACCTACCAGATAAAAGGCTTACTGGGGCCCAGTGATTGGTTTAAAGGCATTGGGCCTGCCTTAAAGCAGTGATTTCAGAAACCTAGAACAGGTAGGATTACTAGACAAATTACAGGACACCCAGTTCATTTGAATTCCAACTAAACAATGAATACATTTTAGCATAAGCATTCTAAATGCGGTTGCTCCTTTTAATCTAAAAAAATTACACTTGAAGGACTGGGAGATTTTTCTTCAATAATTCAGCTTTTCTTGTCACATTGAGAGATCAAACTACTGTAATCATGGGAAGGAATCCCAGGAGTTGAAAATAAATAACCGATGGATATCAGGACTTTTCCTTAGGGCCAAGAAAGTGGGAGGGGAGGCTTCAGGCACAGTGAAACTGGGCATCTTTAACGGTTAGCTGAACCCTCTCTAAGACCAGGTTATAATGGTCATATCCATTAATCAACTTGCCACGTAAGTTGGCAGAATGTACTCATACTGCCAGTGCCAAGCAACTCCACAGTATCTTGAATATTGGTAAAAGAGAAGATAACTTACTTTCCCAAGCAACTCTCATGTGTCAGGTACTTGTCATCAATGGTATTTGTTTGATATTTTATTTAACCTTCAAAATAACCTTGTGGTTTGTGAATTTGTTGCCCATTTTACCAGAAAACAAGGCTGAGAAAGATGAAAATACCTGCTGACAGTCTTCTAGTGAGGATGGTATTGAATGGGGATTCAAACTCAGGTCTATCTGAATGCAGTCTTTTCTCTCTCCACACAGATCTCACTGCCTCTGTGAATGCTTGCCATGTATAAAATATGGAAATGATAAGTTAAATATTTATGAAACCTGCTCTTGAGTGTGTAATCTTGCCAAGTTAAATAGCTCAGCCATTTATTTTTAAATCTGTCACTGGTGATTAGAGCATATTTCAGGGGGAAAATGTCAACTTTCAGTTTCTTGCTTTGCTAGAATGTTTTAAGACAAATCCCAGGAAAAAATATACATACATGTAAGAATATGTATGTATATATATAGAGAGAGATACATACATACATATATATATATATATATATATACACACACACACACACACACAATCCCACATACACACAGGGGTGTGTGTATATATAAAAATACAATTTTAATCCAATATAAAGGGGCTAAGCCAATCCCATGTCAAGGCCCAGTTAACAGTCTAGTCTACAGTCATAAGCAGGAATTGTTTCTGTTAAATTCAGTCCAAGACAACACCATTTTCTGAATTTTACTTTGAGTTTTGCAGCCAAGCTCCTAGCTCCAAGACTTCTAGGCAGCAAGAGACTTCATTATTAGCATTATTTAGAAACTTTATTCCAGGATATTCAAGATGCTATAAAATACACCAGAAATATGGTCCAGTCATGACTCCAAGCACCAACAAGGAAGATGAAGTTACTGAACTATCAGAGGAGTTAGGGATGGGGAAATGGGAAAGGACAGGCACCAGAAAAATAAAATGATTATGGCTAGAGGGCCCAGTTATACAGTTGTGCCACCTGCTACAGGTTAACTAGGAAATCAGCCATCCATCTCTAATGCACACCAGGCTCTGCACAGGGGCAGGAAAGCATTGTCCTTAAATGAAAGCCCGACTTGTGTGGCATTTCAACTTGGACTGTCGCTTTTATTTTATCCCTGTGACTTCATTGTGAAGGCTTTTTCATAGCCACTGGTGTCTGTTTTGGTCAAGACGTTACACTCAGGAGATTTACTAAGACCATAACCTGAGCTAGGGAATGATAGTTCTGTGAGCTTGTTCAGCCACTCTGGCATGATATTATGGAATTGGAAACTGCACGGTAATTATTTCAGTTCTCCTCCAGTGGGCCAATATTAGGACCCTGTTTAATTTTCTTCCCCCTTATCAAATTCCTTACTGACAAAGTCTTTTAAAGCTCAATTAATTCAGCAGTATGATTACATTCCCTGAGGAGCGTATAAGCACCACCACTGTGTAGAAATGGAAACTTTCCCAATGTGTGCTACGGTCAGAATGCATCCCTATACAGGAGAAATTCTGACTGATTCAAGGGGAAAAATTTAAATTAGTGTTGGACATTTTTATGATTTAGAGGGCATTTTTTAAAATGTTGGCTGGGTGAAGTGGCTTACGCCTGTAATCCCAGCACTTTGGGAGGCTGAGGCAGGTGGGTCACTTGAGGTCAGGAGTTTGTGACCAGCCTGGCCAACATGGTGAAACTCCATCTCTACTAAAAATACAAAAATTAGCTGGGCGTGGTGGCACGCGCCTATAGACCTAGGTACTGGGGAGGCTGAAGCAGGAGAATCGCTTGAACCTGGGAGGCGGAGCTGAGATTGCACCACTGCACTCCAGCCTGAGCGACCAAGCAAGGCTCTGTCTCAAAAAAAAAAAAAATGTAATTGCTGGGATCTTTATACTGTACAATTGTACTTAATATGCATCTATTTACTCACATCTCTGAATAGAGGAGAATCTCACACAAAGGTGACTAACATTATATAAGGTATACTGGAACTTTGCTACATTGCTGTACAGAAATTTTTATTTTTGTTCCCCCACCTTTTTTACTTTTTGAGACAAGGTCTTGCTCTGTCACCCGGGCTGAAGTACAGTAATGAAAGTATGGCTCACTACAACCTTGACCTCCCAGGCTCAAGCATTACTCCCACCTCAGCCTTTTCAGTAGCTGGTACCATAGGCATGTGACATCATGCCAAGCTAATTTATTTTATTTTTGTAGAGATGGGGCCTTGCTGTGTTGTCCAGGCTGGTCTTGAACTTCTGGGCTCAAGCAATCCTCCTAACTTGGCCTCCCAAAGTGCTGAAATCACAGGTGTAAACCAGTGTGCTCAGGCATTGCCCCAACCTTAAAGAAGTAAAACAATGACAAGAACAACAAATAAGTCATAACAGTTCTATTCAGATATCAATAGTGTTCTTTTATCCAATGTAAAGCCTTATACAAATAGAACATGATATATTTTTTGGATTTTTTTGCCTTCCTCCATTCTCTGAACAAATAAAAAAGGCTACTGAGATCTAGCACTAGAAAGAGCCTTATTCAGGAGATCTGTAATATTACAGTATTTTATTGAGTATAAATGTCTTTATTTCAGAAAAATAAACGTTTGTTGAATTTATAAGATCACAGAAATTGAAATATGAGAGAAACTGAAAATGCATGTATATATTCCCCAATGTTTATAATAAAAATTATCATCTGAATTTTTTAGGTTTAGTGAGTATCATTTAGGTTGTGGAACCAACCTAAAATGGACTTCATGCATTAACAGTTTTAAAATATTCAGACTTTTGTACAGCACATTTACATATGGGTCTATCAGATTAGCCAAAATCTCACTAGGAACATTTTGTGTCTAATTTTTTTTTTACTTTGAAGTGCAAAAGAATTCACTCAATTGTATTATTGCCACAGCAAATAGAAAAATTACACAATATTTAAATTCTTAAGGGAATATGCAAATATAGCATCACTGTGTGCCAGGAATATTGTTTATTTTAAAAAGATACACATTTTGTTTTTAAAAAATTTACTGTATTTCAAATATGAAATTATCTGACTGACATTTCCTTAATTATTGTCAAAGAGCTTGTTCCTGATTTCTACAAAGTCATATGTGATTATCAAAAACAGGTCATAGACCTCCTAGTTTCTTTTTTGGCATGTAAAGAGCTCAGCAGTTATTGCTGTTATCCTCCCAAAAAGAACAAAGTGAAACAAAATGAACAAGTCTTCTTAGAGCCTTTGGAAAATGGAAGTCACAGGGCAAACTGCTACCTTAAAAACTGCAGAGAAAGATAAATACAGTTATAGATTACAGGGAGCAGAAGCCATTGCTGGAGTCAGAAACAAGTTAAAACACTTCAACATCACTTGACTAACAGTTGGACACTGGGTGTGGACAAGCTTGAAATATAAAAACTTCTGCAGGACCAGCCTTAGAAGGATCCCCATGATTTCATAAGTTTTCCTTCCATAAACCTCTAGAGGTTATCATGGTGAAGATGAGGAAAATCCCCTAATGCATCTGGCAGGGGAAAAGAAAAAGTTTTCATTTAAAATATACTCAGAATGTTCTGTTCTCCTTAACAAAGGCCTTTCCCCAGAGAAAACTATTGTACCAGAACCTAACCACCATGAGAAATACCCAATTACAGCTTCCTCTAACATTCAACATTGGAGGGAAATACCTAATTTGAAACCTCTCTAGCTTGTCTCATGTAAGGGGAGGGGTGTGGGGAAAAAAAAAAAAAGCTAAAAATCACTTGTGAAGGACCCACCTCTGGGGCTCAAGCCCACTAGAGGATTGAGCTCTCATCATAGAATAATAAAACACTTTCTTTCCTGCACACCTTACCACACATAAACAGGGATCCTACACAATAACAGGAGAATAGAAACAAAAAACCACATGTTTCAGAATTTATTTAGAAAGAAGTCTCTAGGGAAGTCCAAGGACAACAGGGAAGACAAAAACAAGGGCATCAGAAGGAAATTTTAGCCTCTGACACCTGTAACTACAGTTAACATTAAACAAAAACTGACTGCTAGCTACAGGAAAAAAACTTACTTAAAAACTCACACTAAAGGCTTACTTATGTCAATCCCTTTTACCTAATATGTCATGTCTAGCTTTTCACAAGAAAACTACAAGGTATGCTAAAAAGAAAAAGAAAAAAAAATTAAATCTGAAGAGACAAAGGGAGAATCAAAATCAAACTCAGATACAGCAGAGATTTTTAAATGATCAGAAAATGAATTTAACTGATTGTTAGGCCAAAGGATCTAATGAAAAAGTACACAACATGCAATAACAGATGGGTAATGTAGGCAGAGAGATAAAAATTCTAAGAAATAATCCAAAGGAAGTACTAGAAAAAAAAAACTGAAATGGAAGTAAAAAATGCCTTTGATGATCATCAGTGGATTTAACATTCTCAAGGAAGGACTCAGTATGCTTAAAGATGTATCAATAGCAACACTAAAAACTGAAAAGCAAAGAGAAAAATAATAAACACACAGTGGAACAGAACATTGAAAAACTAGGAGACAATTTTAAAAAGATATAACACACATTATAGGAAGACGAGAAGGAAAATCAAGAGAAAACCATATAGAAAAGGTTTTGAAGTAATAATAGCTGACAACCTTCCAAAATTAATGATGAAGGCAAAACCACAGATCCAGGAAGCTGGAGAATACCAACCATGGAAAATACTCTACATTATGCATCATGTTAAATCTGCACAAAATCAAAACAAAATCCTGAAAAGAGACTGGGAATGTGCAATGGTGGGAAGGGAAAACACCTCACCTATAGAGAACCAAGTATAAGTATTACAGACTTCCACACAGAAACTATGAAAACAAGAGAAGGCAGTCAATATTTCAAATGTTAATGGAAAAACAAAACCCACCATCACCAATTTAGAATTCTGTAGCCAGTGAAATTTAATCTACAAAAGTAAAGGAGAAATTCCTTCTCAGATAAGCAAACATTAAGGAAATTTGTCACCAGTACACATACCTTGCAAAAAATGTTAAGCCTTCTTCAGAAAGAAGGAAAATTATATGTCAGAAACTCAGACCTACTTAGGGAAAGGGAGAGAGGTACAGAAAAAAATAAATAAAGGTAAAATAAAATGTTTATTTTTCTTATTTTTATTTGAACTAACAGATAACTGGGTGGTTATAGTTTATGAATAAGTGAAATGAATGACAGCAATGTTATAAGGGATGAAAATAAGTAATTGGAAGTACTTTTTTTCTTTTTTTAAAAATATTGAGTCTCGCTCTGTCACCCAGGCTGGAGTGCAGTGGCATGATCCCAGCTCACTGCAAGCTCTGCCTCCCAGGTTCAAGCCATTCTCCTGCCTCAGCCTCCAGAGTAGCTGGGACTACAGGTGCCTGCACCACGCCCGGCTAATTATTTTGTATTTTTAGTAGAGACGGGGTTTCACCGTGTTAGCCAGGATGGTCTCGATCTCCTGACTTTGAGATCCACCTGCCTCGGCCTCCCAAAGTGCTGGGATTACAGGTGTGAGCCACCGCACCCGGCCGGAAGTACTTTTTAT
Organism: Homo sapiens; assembly: GCF_000001405.40. Classification (NCBI taxonomy): domain Eukaryota; kingdom Metazoa; phylum Chordata; class Mammalia; order Primates; family Hominidae; genus Homo; species Homo sapiens. The sequence goes on along the minus strand of NC_000010.11, from coordinate 82,912,928 downwards.
AAGTTATCTATACTAGTCAAGAGCAGTATTATTTGAAAGTAGGCATAGATTAGTTGTAAATGTACAGCACACTGTAGGGAATCACTAACAAAATATATCTAGAAAACATAATTGATATGCTAACAGAGAAGATAAAATACCATCATATAAAATACTTAATTAGATCCAAAAATGAAAAAACAAAATGGAAGGCAAAGAAAAAGAAACAAAAACCCAGGTCATCAATTACTAAAAAACATTTACAAATATGATAGGTATTAATCCAGAAATCTCAAAAATCACTATAAATATAAATAGCCTAAACCAATTAAAAGCAATTGTCGAAGTATATTTTTAAAAACAAGATGAAAGTATATATTGTCTTTAGGAAACTCACTTTAAATATAATGGCGTGGGTGCCATAAATGGTGGAGTAAGATATACCATGCTAACACTTATCCAAAATAATATGGTGTGACTATATTAATTTCAGGTAAAGAAGACAGAAGACGTCAGTGCAAGAAAAAAATATCAGGGATAAAAAGGAGCATTATATAATGATAAAGGAGTCAACTTTCCAGAAAACATAACAATTTTTAAAATGTATGATGCCTGTAAACCCAGCATGAAAATATGTAAGGCTAAAACTAGAAGAACTACAAGGGGAAATAGATTAATTCACTATTTTAGTTAAAGACTTGAACCCTTCTATCCAGCAAGCAGGCTATCAGTAAGGATGTAGTTGACTGAATAGCACTGTCAACCAACTGGATCTAATTGACATTTATAGAAGACTTAATCTAACCATAGCAGAATACACATTCTTCTCAATTTCACATAAAATATTCACCAAATTCTGGGTCACAAAACATATCTTAACACATGAAAATTATATAAATCATACAAAGTATTCTCTCAGATCATTATGGGATTAAAATATAAATAAGAAACACATGAATCAAAGGAGATGAGGCAAAAGAAATTTGAAATAAAAATGAATTAAAGAAAAATGAAAATACAACTCATCAAAATTTGTGCAATGCAACAAAAGCAGTTCTTAGAGGGAAATTTATAATATTTAATGAATATATTAGAAAAGAAGAAAGATCTAAATATTAATCTAAGTTTCTACCTTAAAAACTAGAAAAGGAAGATCAATATCTACAGTAATCAGAAGAAGAGAAATAATAAAAACTAGAGCAATATCAATGAAATTGAAAACAGGAAATCAATAAAGAAAACTAATGAAAAGAAAAACTGATTCTTTGAAAAGATAAATAGAATTGTTAAACCTCTAAAAGCCAGTTTAACTAAGAAAAAAATGAAAGAAGACAAAAATTACTATATAAAGAATGAAAGAAGGATCATTGCTACTGATCTCATCAATATTAAAATATAATAAATATTATGAACAAGTGTATGCCCACAAATTTTATAAATTATATAAAATTGATCAATGCCTTAAAAGACATAATCTACAAAAACCAGAAGTAGATAATCTGAATAGGACTACATTTATTAAAAGAATTAAATTAATAGCTTGTAACTTTCCAGAAAGAATCTATGTTACCTGGGGTTTCGTGTTGAGCTTTTAGATATAATGCCAAAGGCACAACCCATGAATGAAAAAATTAAAATTTTAGATTTTTTTAAATTAAAAATATCTGCCCTTAAAGATAATGAAAAGATGAATCAAGGACTGAAAAAAAATGCTTATAAACCACTTAACCATATCCCATTCTTTAGACGTACTCAAAAATTCACAACTCAAAATTAGCAGGCATAAAGAGATCTTAATATTCTTTGATTTCTCTCACTGCAAAGATCGTGCATACATATATATTTACCTCTGACCCATGCTAAATGGAAAATTCAGAAGGTAAACCCTCTACCCTATTTAAAGAATGACAATGATTTTTGTAAAGGGATTTAATTCTGCTGCCATTAATCAATATTTTAAAGTCAGTCCATCTGTGCAAGAAGGGTTGAAACATAGTCACTGAACATAGCCATAGGCCAGATGTTGTGCCATGCACGCACAACTGTGTCTTCAGTTACTATGTTCCAAGTGTTGGCAACAGCATATACAGCATTCTTTATGCTAAACTCCTTTTGAAACCCTTCCATACCCAGACTACTGTTCACTGCTGTTAGCATTCTGCTCAATAAAGTGTTTTTATATTTACTCATCATTGATCTAAGGATACCCTGGTCACATGGCCAAATTAATGAAGTCATATTTGGGGGAAAGTACATGACATAAACATTATTTTTTAGAATTTCAGCTGGAGGATGAACAGAACGGTTGTTAAGGAATAAAAAAATCTTCTAGTCCTCATCCAGTTCAGCTTCTTTGCAGTGAGCATAAGCCACTGGTACAAATGTTTGTAAAACCAGATAGAGAAGATGTCTCTGGTGATTCATGCCTTCCTGCTAGCATAATAATAGACAAGTAAGAACTTAGCCTTTTGAAAACATTGAGGACTCAAGCTTATGCCTAACACAGCAAGTTTACACTTAAGCGTGCCTGCTGCATTAGCACATCCTGGTGCAGTTATTCTGTCCTTGGCATTCTTAATTCCTCTAGTAGCTGTTCATTAGCTGTAGTCAGTTTCTTTCTGGGGCAATAACACCAAAATCGTTATGTTACATCAGCATTATAGACTTATTCTGGTGTCAGACTTTCAGCAGTGATGACATTGGCAAACTTGTCAATGAATTTCTCTTCTGCTTCATGATAAGCAGATGATTTATCACAAGTCTTTACAAATTTGTCTTTTAAAAATTTTCTGCAGCCAGCGTGTTGAATCTTCACAGTTCTCTATAATTTTTCAGCTCATTGTAATTGGTATTTTCTTGTTTCATGGCCAGAATATGATTGTCATATGTTTACCATGACACTACTGGATCCACTCTTTCAATATGCAATCAAGACCTTCAGTTTTCGCTTTAGAGTGTTTTTCTATTTTTCATTAACTTCTGTTTATCACTTTCAGCATAGAATTTCAACAGTTTATCCTTCTGTTTCTTCAAGTCATATATGGTAGCCATTCTACCATCATACACTTCTGTAAGATGGTTCACACTTACACTGCTGTTCAGTTTCTCCAACAGCTTGACTTTCTGTGTTCTAAATTAACATAAATCCTTCTTCTTGTTCTTATCACTGTTACTCATAGAGGTATCTACAGGCTTTTTTGACATTTTCAACAAATATCATCACATCCTTGATATCACAGAGCATAGCATAAGCCAAAAACTTCAGTGAGTAATGAACGTAGGTCTTGGCCTCATGTGGAACATCATTAGGAACCTACTGCTGGTGCTTCTGGTCTGCACATGTGTCATTTTATTACCATTGTGGGCATACTTGTGTGGGAGTATCTAGGTGTGCACAGAAAATACCTATCACAAGTGAATGGTACTTGGAGGGTCTTTTTTTTTCCCCTTGGGGTCACTGAATAAACTATGAGAGGTGTGCTTGTGTTTTGACTGCAACCTGTCACATGAGGTCGGGTGTAAAAGTTTCCAGTTGTAGCATCATGTCAATGATCAAGAATCTTAGATTTTGGAGCATTTTGGAGTTTGAATTTTCAGATTAGGGATGTTCAACCTGTATTGTTCTTCAGAATGCCTGTGTGAACTGCTCATAAGATTCATTATGTTAAAGTCAAAAATCCATTTCTCTGCATTGAAGGTCATCTCTAGGAGGTAATAATTGTGACAGAAATAAAATGAAAACCTGTTTGCATGGGAGTTTTTACTTCATAGCTGTTTAGTGTGACATTAACAGATACAGCAGGTGAAATTGCATGGTTTCTGGCCATCTGTTCAAAAGTGAAATTAAGTCTTTCTACGCAAGGCATGGCCTCAGTTTCCTGATGGTCAGCCAGGCATATAGCCTGAAGAGACTACTGGAGGACAGTGCTAATGGGGTCCACGGGAGCTACAGTCATCTGGGGCGTGGTGTCTACTCACCACACTACCTCCATTGGCTGCCTCTCCCTCCTGACTGCCACAGCTCCAGTCGCTGAGGGCGTGGTGTCTACTCACTACACTACCTCCATTGGCTTCCTCTCCCTCCTGACTGCCACAGCTCCAGTCGCTGAAAGCAATCTGAGCATTCCCAGAGTATGTCCAAACACAAATCTCTTATCTCATTGTGAACAGAGAGCATCTAGGGATGGAGCTAAGCTCCTTTGCCTGACAGGAGCCACTGAAGCAGTTTAGTATGGCCAGAAGCTCATCTCTGTCCATAGTACATGCACCTGGATTCCCTCAGTCTTTTTTCTCTTCCCTTGGAAAGTGAGACAGACAGAGAGGATTGCAGGTGAACAGCAAGGAGTTAGCGTGGGTGTTCTCATTTTAGCATACTGATTGCCGTTTTATTTCAGGGTTGAGTAGTAATTACCACTAATGAACAACATGATAATTTGCAGCCATAAATCACCAGTTGCTTGGTTTTGCCATTTAACACAATGAATTAAAGCTTTTCATGCTCAGAACTTGGCAGGTCTCAGTGTATCTTCTGCTCAGGTCAAGGTGTACTGAAATATGCAGGGTACCGAGGTGGATTTCTTCTCAGAAAACATTTCTGAATTCCTTGATAATGAATTCCAGGCATAAAGACATACTTGTGGACTCACTGCAGAAGTCTTGCTCATCACTGAGACATTCTCCTGCACCAGTTGCAAACTTGTTCCTTCCTAGTGAGTTAACAGCTTACATGTGCCAGGCCATGTTAAGACCACCTCCTCATGGCAGCTTTTGCTTCTGGCCTTGCAAAGGAATGGGAGTTGGTTTTCCACCACAATACACAGACATCTGAAAGTCTCTTGTGATGTGAGATGCTTCATCAGGCTTGCAGAAAAGTAATGGCTATTGAGAAGCTACTCCAAACCAGGCACCATTTTGACACTTTATCCATAATGTCTTCATAAAGAGAGCTTAATCAGGCTCAAGGAGGAATGATGGTTTATCCCACGGGTAAATATCTAGTAAGTTTCATAAGTCAGGCTAAGGTTCTAAGCTTTCAAGACAGGCAAAACATTGCCTACATGCTTTGATCAATATATATTTAAATGGTTTCATAATTTTCACACATTTGCTCTACACATGTAGACTTCACATCCTCAAAACATGGGCTGCAGCTTCTACTTACATTGTATTTATATACAGTACCTATGCATACAGTTAGTGCTTAAAAAATACCTGTGGAATTAAATGGAAAACCTTCTGTATTGAAATAAATGAAAAGTGTATAGATAATATATACCTTATATGTTGTATAACATACATCACATATATTTCTTATTTAATAGCAACTACGAAGGTTCCATAGGCCCAAGTTATATTAAAACACAGACTGGTTTAAGAAACAGTCCATTTAAATAATTGATGATAAATTAATATCCCTTTTATTCCATTAATGCTTCTTAATAGCCTCCAGACAGACTGGATCAACATTGTATAATCCTGATTAATAAAAAATTTGTCAAGATGTGAACTGACTTGAGAAAGGAGGAGACTACAATAGAATCCATGATTCGCAAACTGTTAAAAGTGGGGTAAAATGATATATTCCAGAAAATTATAAAATCATAATATAGCTTCAACTCCACAGAATATAAATTTTACATAAGAAGATCTTCCAAAATTTTTCTGTATAATGTCAAATAAATATAGGCAGGTATTATTTTAAACCTGGAAAGAAATTATAAGAATTTATCCCCCAGTGAACTAAAACTCAGTGAAGACAGCAAAGAGTCCAAGAATCTCTAGAGGCATGAAGGGTAGACAGCGCCCCAAGAGAGGATGCCTCACTGTAGCTGCTCTTAGCGATGGGATAAAGAACATTTTCTTCATTCTCTGGGCAACTGAGAATAATAGGACTGCTAACCCAAATCAGTTTGTATTGACTGCAGTTTACACTTTTCTCTGAAGTGAGATGTAAGGACCCATTCAACTTCTGTTATTTTGCCACTGTTATAATCACTAATTAAGACCTAATACAGCCATTCTTTATTTCCTTATGTGTATAATCACCATCATGCCTTCTAAAGTTTCTATGAAAAAACAAAACACTAGATTCAATATTCCTCCAAACTGATTTCTGCAGACTTCTTTCTTAACTCCTTTAATAACAAGGTGATTTTATATGCTTCACCCTTTCTAGAAGAGAGACATTTAAGAATGATGAAAAAAAAATGTTGGTGTGATTTGCTCAATGGATTGCCTTATGTTAAAAAAATGCGAGAAAGCATATTAGGATGTTAGTCATGTTACCTAAGTGACAAAACCTTTTTTCCTACTGGACATGTTTTAATTTAAATTTCATGATGTCTTGTGGTCTTAAAATTCTATCTGGCAATATAGAAATAGGCAAAATTTATAACTTATTTATTCTTCTAATATTGAAAATTCTGAGGCTACATTTATGTCAAACTGTTGCTGTTTTAAAATATTTTTTGGATAAAGATGATTAAGTAAAGCCAGGTTACAAATCTTATTCCCCAACACCTATAGAAATTAATGTTTTAATAAAAGCCCAAAGTTCAACAGCAGCAACTAAAAAAGGACTAGAGTGTGATCTTATGCCACAAGGTATTTTAACATTGCTGTCATGAAAAGTAGTATAAATTATGATACGACGTGTGAAGCCTCAAACCCCATGTCTTCTCCACAGGGTTAATATTGAGGAGCAGAAGGGAATAAAGCCCTGAAGATTCTTGCTGGTTTTCCCACTCAATTTTTAGAGCTGAGGAGACTACTTGAGGGAATAGTTTTAAGAAGAGAAGCCCCAACATACTGCTATGGGAGCTCAGTGGAGTCAGAAAGTTCTAGAGCAGTATGCTGAGTTTTAGAAATTGGGTGAAGCTGTATGAGCAGGATAGCACGTAGCTGGGTGCAGAAGGCCATGTTTGATATTTTTGATAAGATTTTGGTAAAGATAATCTAGTCTTGCTAGATTGACATATGACATGGCCACAGCTAAGCTAGCCTCTAACCTATCCCATTGCCCTCAGGATACAGGAATGTGGTTAGAAGCAAAATTAGCATCCACATGAAGCCCAGGGAAAAGACAGAAACATTGTTAATATCTTGGATAGGGTCAAAGAGAGCAATCCCTCAGTGCATCCAGATGAGTAGAAGTTTCAGACAAAGCTGCCCTTTAAATAAATATGAGCAAATGAAAAGAAGCAACTTGATAACTATTTAAATTCTAGAGAGAAAGGAAGAAAGAAATGGGAGGTCGGGGGTTAGCAGGAATGAAGGAAAATAAAGGTTCAGAAAGCAAGGAAAGTAAAAGCCAATTCTGAAAGACAGTGTATTTAAAGAAAAGGAAGCACACTTTCCCCAAGATTTTTGCACTATCGAAGAACTTCATAAAAATAATAATTCAGTAAAAACATGTAACAAAATAAACAAAAAACAATGAAACAACAAAACAGTGAAAACATGGAATAACCATTCAAATAATAGAGATTTTGGTGCTAAATGCCTTATTTTAGAAGCCCAATTTCTGAACAGGTAACCTGGTGGAATGAAGAAAAAGCTTTCAATAATCACTGTCAACACAGAAGAAGAAGACAAAGAAATTAAGGCTTTGGAGAAAATGCCTAGGAAATGGAATGGAGGACTGGATGGATTAAGACAATCGGAGAGAAACTGATAAATACAGTGAACTGAGAAAATACAAGGCCAGTGTGAACCATGTTATGAATACACCAAACTGAACAGGCATATGGATATAAATAATCTGCAGAATTTGAAAATCAAAAACACATTTTAAATATAAAGACCATGGGTAAATATTTCCAAATTGGACAGACACCCACAACCAAACTTCCTTTTTAAAATGCTACTTGCTAATGAATTCAAGCCAAAGTATGAACTCAGCCTTGGAGCACAATTAATTAAATTCATTTTCTGTATTTCAGGGAATTGTGAAAAATCCACACTTGTCAGGCATACTATAAATTTAGATCATGCTTTCTACAGGATAGAAAATGTTCTTTTAAAGTTCAAGTTCTCACATTTTGTTTCTGTTAGAATTAAGCTTGTGCTCAATCAGTTCCATCTATGACTGGAAGTATGTATCAGAAATACTTTGGGCTCCTCAGGGAAAAATAGTCGATGCTATTTTTGTTGACATCATTATCACCATTGAAACCCTCTGAAATCATTTCCCCATCTACTTTTTTTGATTTCCTAATATTTTTGTTCATGTATATGATTCTCTAACACAGAGGTCTAGCAAAGAACATTACTGTTCTTTGATATAGGCATATCCCATTCATATGCCTAAGATATGCTTCTATGTATTCCTTCAAATCTCACAAACCATAGTTTCTGTTTCCCATGATATAAAAAACATTGAGGAATACTGTTTCAACAAAGATGTGCATAAACCATACTTAGCTACCTCTAGAACTTCACTTTGATGCATTTTGCTTGAAATATCTTCCCCACCAAGCTCCCTTTCTTCCGGTTTAAATGCTGCTCATCCTCCATGTCTCATTTTAAGGAGGGCAAAGGAGACCAACCATTTTCTGTTGTTGAATGATTAATGAGTATCCATGACACATTAAAGAGGCACTGTGATTACCATGCCACCATCTCTTACACCAGGGGTGTCCAGTCTTTTGGCTTCCCTGGGCCACATTTGAAGAAAAAGAGTTGTCTTGCAATACACATAAAATACACTAAAACTAACAATAGCTGTTGAGCTAAAAAAAATCACAAAAAGACTCATGATGTTTTAAGAAAGTTTATGAATTTGTGTTGGGCTGCATTCAAAGCTGTCCTGGGCCACATGTGGCCTGTGGGACATGGGTTGGACAAGCTTGTCTTGTACCATGTCTGAACTTTTAGAAAATCTATTCTGCATATTTGTTGAAAAAAAGAAGATGTTAAAATACAAGCTGATAATGTAAAGTGACACGATTGAATGCCAAAGGGATGACAAGACATGTACAGTAACCAGAGTCAACACATCTGTAAGTCCAGACTTCACTGCTTGTGTCTGAAATCTTGCTGGTCTTTATAACATATATATATATATGTAATGTACAGTCGAGCCTTGGACAATGTGGAAGTTATAGGGAATCTGACCCCTGTACAGTTGAAAATTCAGGTATAACTTTTAACTCCCATCAAATTTAATTACTAATAGCCTAATGTTGACCAGAAGCCTTAAGATAACATAAATAGTAGATTAACACATATTTGGTATATGTATCAGATATTGTATTATTACAATAAGATAAGCTAGAGAAAAGCAAATGTTCTTAAGGAAGTCATAAGGAAGAGAAAATACATTTGAAGTACTGTGCTTTATTTATCAATACCATAAGTTTATGTCATCTGTTTACAAGATGAATTGTGTCTGAAATGGCAGGCACCCGCAGCTGCAGGCCTCAATCCACGGTATATATCAAGCAATTTAACTTTTTCTTATAATGTCAGGACTTTTCTCTGCTTCTTGGGAGCACTTCCAGCATCACTAGCAGAACTTTGTATGGGTCCCATGGTGTTATGCAAGGTTTAAGGTACTGCACTAAACACAATGAAAAATATATAAGAACAGCAAGAGAGAGAGATCACTTTTTACTGGATATACAATTTACTGGAGAGGCAAAATGCTTACATGGAGATGATTAGTATCACACGTATTTTAAGCAAACACGCTCAACATTTGGGCTCACCACGATAGCAACAAGAAGCAACTACAAACTTATTACAGTTTTACAGTATGTGCTATAGTGAATGGTATGCAGTGAAGACATAATACTACATCTTTACATTTGTTTATGTGTCTCTTGACTGCAAATGATGCCACCTATGGTCTGTGTTTGTGTAAGTTTTAACAACTTTTAACTTTTTATAGTAAATTTGTGCATATTTTATGGTAGTTAATGATGAAATAGGCTAGTATCTACACAGATTTTATGTATTCATGACATGCCTAACTTTTCCTTAATTTTTTGATATTTCTAGGCTACACAGTTCACCTGTGAATTTTTAAAGACTCATAGATCTCCAAAAAATATTTTCCAATATATTATAAAAAATTGCATATAAATGGATCAATGCAGTTCAAACCCAAAAACTCAAAGATCTCCAAAAAATTTTCCAATACATTTATTGTAAAAAACTGCATGTAAATGGACCGAGACAGTTCAAACCCATGTTGTTCAAGGGTCAACTATACATGTGTATACAGATATGTATATACACATATATAATACATATAATAATGTATACAGAAACAAAGTTCTTTTTAAATACATAATTGATGATGTGAAAGCAAATGGATAGTGTGTCTATTTGGAGTTTCTAAAAGTTATTAGGCCCTGAAGATTGTTGACTTTGGAAACTGAGTCACACAGCTTGAACTTTTAATTACTGACCTTTCAAAAATAGATTAACTTCCTTCCGAATTTCCTTTTTTATGGCTAAGACCACGTGGCCCTGACATAAAAAAAGACCCCTTGACTGAGACAAAAGACCCCTTGACTATTACGTCTTTCTTTAATATAGAATGTTAAATATGCCTTTCAAAAAAAAAGAAATGCTGCATATAACTAAGCAAATTGTTGTAACTATTCACTAACCCTCTATGGAAAAATAATGTAATCTTTTTAATCTTCCCCAGAACTTTCCTGCTTAAATGATCTTCAAACATTCCCTCTTTGGAGCACTGACCCTTTCCTTTTGGAGTCTGTGTCCTCCTGAGTTCACAAACTTTGAATAAACCCAATATTTACAAACTGTGAATAAACCCAATATTTAATCAGATTGCCTGAGTCTCATCATCAAGGTTGTCCATGATGTACATAGTATATGAAATATATGCAATAATAGAATAATGTTACTAAAAATGGTCTCATGTATCTTTCGGTTGGTTATATCCATCTAGCTATATATTTACCTATCCATTTATGTATTTAGCTACAGTAACAAATATATTAAAACCTAAAATGAAACGAAAAAGCTACTATATAAGGGGTATACTTTAAATTAAGAGTAATCTTTATTACAGTGCCGCTAAATAAAAGCAAGTACCATTGCTAAAGCATGGTGATTACTAAACTGTGAAATCTGAAGTCTTCCAAACCAGGAGGATTGATGTTAGGTACCTGAATAACACAGAATGTGGATTTGTGCACCACCACCAAGTTCTTCACAATTATAAAACGACTTTCACATATAATTTTAGCCATCTGCTGCTCTGTTTGACCTTATCCCACTGTGTTCTAATCACTGCTGGTGCTTAAGAAATCTTCACCTGTTCTGTATGTACCATTCTGCTGCCGCTTGGCTATTGGCTACAGGGAATCACTAAAAGTCCCATTATTCTTCTGGAGGATCACTCCTAGAGCTGGATGGGAGTGGAGGTGAAAGGTTCATCCTGCAGAGAGCAGTACCTGAGAATGAGGAGGCCTCTGGGCATTTGTGTAGGAAAGATTCCAGGACCTTTTATGAATTGTATTTTTTTTGGCTTCCATCCTTTTGTCCCTTCATAATCCATATTCTCACCATTTTTCCACCTCTCTAAGGTTGGAGCGACTTGGATCAGTGGCCAATAAAAGCCATACATACACACACACAAACACATAGAGATTTCAAAACCTTTGGAGAGGCATTTTAAAGACAAAAAAAATTCAAATTTGCTGAAATTGTAAATATTTAAAACACGGTTGAAAGATAAAGAATGAAACCAAATAAATGTAATATATTTTTGAGAATATAAATGATCCCTGACATATTAAAACACTCAAAGGCAAGCGCTCTCAGTACAGGAGGGAATGAAAAACATTCTATTCATTTAAAATCAGTTCAAACGGACATTATAACACATGCTGTTAGATAGTTCTGGGGATGTTTATTATTTCAAACATTTATATTAACTAACTCCTATTAAATTTCGGTAAAATCTGTATTTTCTTTTATTAGATTAGTTTGGTGATTTTAGAGCTCTCTGAATTTTAGATCTGAGGTCTCATTTTGTGTTATACTGCTTAGCAGGACCAATTTCACTAGCAAAACAAAGCAAAACGAAGGCAAAATCCATGAAAAAAATTTCCTTTAAACTAATGCAGTCATCAAAATGTGTGTCATCTCACAGAGTTTTATCATAATAAAGGCTTTAGCCTTTAGGATGTGAGTACATTTTCAGCTCTACCATTTATTTTCTGACTGAATCTGGGGAAATTGTATAGTGTGTCTGGGTCTCATTTTCTTCATTTGTAAAATGGGGATCATTATACCAACCCTATAAGGCCACTGTGATTTTAAAAAATGAAATAACGCATGCAAAAGACTTAGCAGAATATCTGACATAATATAAGTACTGTTTATTTTATTCTCAATAATAAGTTTTATTAGTATTTGTCAAGGAATGAGATTTTATTTCTTCCTATACCTATATTAGTTTAAAAAGTCCATGTTCATTTTTAAAGGCAATACATCATACATTCTGAAATTAATAATCTTTAAGACATTTATAATAATTTACAGTAATGTCATACTAAACAGTATTATGCTGGAGAAAAAAATTGTTAACAATAAAGTACTGTACATAGTTAATGATAGTAACACTATCAAAATAAAAGTATTGACATTTTGATGAGGATATGCAATCCAGATTGGATGCGTGTCCCCACCCAAATCTCATGTTGAAATGTAATCCCCAATTTTGAAGGTGGGGCTTGGTGGGAGGTGATTGGACCATGGCAGGGGATCCCTCATGAATTGTTTAGCACCATTCCCTCAGTGATGTCCTCGCTATACTGTGTGACTTCTCATGAGATCTCTTTTAAAAGTGTGACACCACTCTCTCTTGCTCCTGCTCCCATCATATGAGATGCCTGCTGCCCCTTTGCCTTCTGCCATAATTAGAAGCTTCTTGGGGCCTCCCCAGAAGCAGATGTCACTACATTTCCTGTTCAGCCTGCAGAACGGTGAGCTAATTAAACCTCTTTTCTTTATAAATTACGAAGTCTCAGGTGTTTCTTTATAGCAATGCAAAAACAAACTAGTGCAATATCTTTAGTTATTAACTTTAATTTCCTCTACCCCTCTCGTAACCATTAATTTCTTCTACCTTCTACTATTCTTAGAGCAGACCTGCCTATTAGTACTTGAGGATGTCTAATTTATCCAGTTTGTCTGATTTAAATTTTTAAGGGTACTTTGAAATACGCAGACAATTCCCCAAATATTTCCCTCTACACCTTTAAATAGCAATCATCGTCAATGACTGAGGCTAGTTTTGAGAATAAAAGGGCCATGCTAGTTCCTAAACGATTATATTTGTCTATAAGAATAACAATTTTATTACTAAATATGCTTCCATGGTTTCTCTGAGTGCATGCTGACAAAGCTACTGATTCTAAGAAATGCACAGGTAGGAAAAAGTTAAAACACAGAGAAAAAAATACTACGCACATTCCTGCAACACATCCAAATAAAAATTCACTATTTATGTACTGATATATTTCCTAAGTCCTTTCTCCCTGGTCAGATATCAATTTTGGTTTTGTTTGCATGATTTTGTTCATACTGTTAAGTACAGTTGTTATCTGTATTATTTTATCTAAAATATGACTTGCATTATTCATGCACCTTTGGACTCTAGGTTCTTTAAACCAAGAGTAAATAGAGGCCTAGAACAGATGGCATGAGAGCCCCACCAAATCATACAGTGTGAGCATTCAGAGATCCCAGCCAGAAAATAAGGGGGTACTTTTTAGTGTCCCTTATGTGCAGAAGAATGGCTATCTATGACTTTGACAATGAGAACCTATGGTCTTGTAGGGACCCTATGAATAAATTTAGATACATCCCTCATTATACACATGAAGTCGTTAAAGACCAAAACAATTTGGTCACCTGCCAATAATTCACTGCGTGTAACCAATGAAATAAAAACTCCTGGCCAGATGCGGTGGCTCAAGCCTGTAATCCCAGCACTTTGGGAGGCCGAGGCAGGCAGATCACGAGGTCAGGAGATTGAGACCCTCTGGCTAACATGGTGAAACTTTGTCTCTACTAAAAATACAAAAAAATTAGCCGGGGTGCCTGCAGTCCCAACTACTAGGGAGGCTGAGGCAGAAAAATGGCGTGAACCCGAGAGGCAGAGGCTGCAGTGAGCCAAGATCGCACAACTGCACTCCAGCCTGGGAGACAGAGCGAGACTCTGTCTCAAAAAAAAAAAAAAAAAAAAAAAAGGTAAAACTCCTGGCCTTCTATTCAGCCCCACACCTAATGTCTCAGAATTCCAAGGCAAGAATGCAAATGGAGGCCCAGGCCCAGAACCTGCTCCCTTTCCCTTCTCACTCTGATTTCCTCTTGACAAGAGCATCATGCAAATGTGTATGCAATCAATCTGGATGTCCAAGGTCATTCCAAATTTTGGGCCTAGGGGTATGGACTGTGGCACACCATCTACTTTTGTGTAGTCAGAACCCATGGAAAGGGTGATCTGAGCTGGCCCTGTGAGCACCTTAAGACCATCTGGGTAGGGAGCCTCCAGGTGAGGCTCCTGACACCTGAAGGGTGGTCTTGAAGGGAGAACATGAGCTCTATTTGGTACATATTTGCCTCCACGTTTTAGTTGGACTCTGAGAGAAGGATTTAGGAATTGATCCCAAGGAACACTGTGAGGGGGTTTGGGAGTTAAAAAAGGGAGAGACCAATAAAGGATGGATTAATAAGTGGCTGACCACTGTAGGCAACCAGGGCTCAGCCCCAGTGTGGACAGACTCAGGGTTGTCCCAATGTGGAGCAAGAGGCTGTGGAACTTACCTATCAACTGCTATCTCTCATTGGTTGAGGGTTGCTCTAGGGGCACTGACTCTCTGGCACATCTGGCCTCCCTTTAAGGAGACTCTGCAGGTCTGCTGCACAAGATTGAGGACCTGAAGTTGGAAGGGTCCCTAGTTGCTGGGCTGTAAGGCTACATTATGTCTTCCTCCTTATAGTAAGTGCTAAGTGAACATATATTAATAGTATCCTACTCAATATATAATTACAGTATCTTTAACCTACTATTAATCACCTCATCATTTAATTAGAGAATGAAACATTTCTATTATTACCTAACACATTAAGACATGCTAGTTCTAGCAGGGCGCAGTGGCTTATGCCTGTAATCCCGGCACTTTGGGAGGCTGAGGCGGGTGGATCACCTGAGGTCTGGAGTTCGAGACCAGTCTGGCCAACATGGTGAAACCCTGTCTCTACTAAAAAATACAACAATTAGCTGGGCATTGTGGCGCACATCTATAATCCCAGCTACTCGGGAGGCTGAGGCAGGAGAATCACTTGAACCCGGGAGGCAGAGGTTGCAGTGAGCCAAAATCCCACCACTGCACTTCAGCCTGGGTGACAGAAAGAGACTGCATCGCAAAACAAAACAAAACAAAAAAGACATGTTAGTTCTTTAAAAGCACTATGCATTCAAGAAATCAAGATCAGAAAAAAAAAGAAGCCTTGGGTTTGTTTCAGGGACTGGGCAGGTTATATTCAAGATGGATCTTTTGCATGTTACTGTGAATTCAGTGATGGAACAATGTATTTTACCTTTCATCTGGACATTTAACCATCTCATCTCATTTAGCATTTAAACTTACTTGTACTGAAAATTATTCTGTTCTCTCAAGCATTAGATTATGGTTTAGGAACGTCTATTTTTTTCTCAAAAGGTGTTTAATCCAAGACTATTTTGAAATTCTGCAGTAAATATTGAGAACTTCTAAAGGCTTCTTCTTCCATAGCACTTACACATTCATACAATTGTACATTTAGTTACATTTTAAGTCTCTATTTTGCTTCATTCAAACCATGTTGTTGTTCAGAGACATACACAGTGTATCGTGATGATAAAAGTTTCCCAAGTTGGTGGTCTTCGCATTTTCCAGACATCCTTCACCAAACCGAATTTCTTCTCTCATGAGCAGATGGATGGAAATGGATCAAACTAAAATGGAAGAACCAGTATGATTTCAGCTGACAAATGACTCCTGCTAATCATGAGTATGGGGTTTAGTGATGAAAACAATAAAGACTCTAAGTTTCTTTAAAATGCAATTCCATTTGCCATTCTGAGACAGACATTTCAACTAGTCCCTAGCAATGATGGTTTCTCAAATGTAATGAGGTTAGTTTCTGCTACAGTCCACTGGGAAGAAACAACCTTTCATACTGATTACTAACCATATAATTTGTTGAATAAACATGATATTAAATCTAGTTTCAGGTTGTTTTGCTGACTTATAAGCCACATTTGAGGTACTGACTTTAATTTTTCAAAAAGCAAAGGTTTTCACTTACATATTTTACATATATCAATGTTCACATTTATTTTCATGTAGAAAATCAAAACATCATTCTTCTCATTAAAATCTGCTTTTAGATGTCCTACAACAATAAACAGGTATTTCATGGAAAATAGCTATTTATCTATATCCACAAATTCATTCACAGTCAGCCTCATCCTTCTTTGCCAGGCACAGGAAAGATTCTACAGATCCTTGATTCCTCCTTTTCTAGCCATCTCCAGAAGAAGTTCAGTAGCTATAAAATCAGACAGGCTTGGAGCCTGGTTCCACCAAGTGTGATCTTCAGCATGTGCTTCATAACTTCCAGAGAGCAGTTTTTCATGAGTAAATGGTGTGGTAGGACCTCATCAGGTGCTGGTTGTGAGCATTAACTGGTAGGATGTCAGGAAGATGCCTGGTCAAACAACTCACATGTTGAAGAGGCTCAATAAATGTCAGCCTCATTCTTTTCTTACCTTTCATCATGTAAACTGTACTTGCAAACCCCCAAATCACTTTCTCTTCAAATTGTCTCCATTTCTTAAACACCACTCAAACGCCAACACTTTGTAGCCTTCTACTACCTCTCAAGATTGGAAAGATAATACTCATAGACCACAGAGGCACTTCCATGTCTCAGCCACTGCATTGAGTACATTAGCTGCAGTATTTCATTCGATCCTATCAACAACCTAATGCTATAGTAAAATAATTATCTATAATTTACCAACAAGGAAATGACATTAGGCCAGCCAGTAAACAGCAGACTGGTGACTCAAACCAGCTGTCACTCACTTTATTTTACAACATTAAAATGAGAAATAAAATGTTATTGGTAGGGCGCGGTGGCTCACGTCTGTAATCCCAGCACTTTTGGGAGGCCAAGGCGGGCGGATCACGAGGTGAGGAGATCGAGACCATCCTGGCTAACACGGTGAAACACCGTCTCTATTAAAATTACAAAAAATTAGCTGGGCATGGAGGCAGGTGCCTGCAGTCCCAGCTGCTCGGGAGGCTGAGGCAGGAGAATGGCGTGAACCTGGGAGGCAGAGCTTGCAGTGAGCCGAGATCGTGCCACTGCACTCCAGCCTGGGTGACAGAGCGAGACGAGACTCTGTCTCAAAAAAAAAAAAAAAAAGAATGTTATTGTGCTGGATTGTCTTTCATTTTTTTCTCAGATAATCTTAAAATATGATTAAACTCTCTTGTTTAATGTTTCATGTTTATGCCTTCTCTATGATTAGCCTTCCCAGGAACAAAGAATGTAAATTTCTAAGCTCAACTCTTCAACCCATTTGACAAAGGTGTATTGGATGCCCTCAGGATGTGGGGAACAGTGCTAAGGGCTGGAGGTCTGAAATGAGTGACACACCCCCTGCCTTGAGTAGTTCACAGCTCAGTGGGAATAGCATCTACATATTAACAGCAATATCATATAGAAATTGCCATGATAGAAATGAATCATAAAACTAGTCCCATCAATGATAGACTGGATAAAGAAAATGTGGCACATATACACCGTGGAATACTATGCAGCCATAAAAAAGAATGAGTTCATGTCCTTTGCAGGCACACGGATGAAGCTAGACACCATCATTCTCAGCAAAGTAACACAAGAACAGAAAACCAAACACTGCATGTTCTGACTCATAAGTGGGAGTTGAACAAAGAACGCATGGACACAGAGAGGGGAACATCACACACCAGGGCCTGTCGGGCAGTGGGGGCAAGGGGAGGGAGAGCATTAGCACAAACACCTAATGCATGCAGGGCTTAAAACCTAGATGACGGGTTGATGGGTGCAGCAAACCACCATGGCACATGTGTACCTATTTAACAAACCTGCACATTCTGCACATTCACCCTAGAACTTAAAGTTAAAAAAAAAATTATTGTAGAGGCAAAACTTATGGAGCCTGATAGTTGTGCCAATTCAGGGTAAGGGTTCTCGGGAATATTTCTCAGTGAAGGTAATAGATGAATTGAGTCTTAATAGGAAAAATACAAATTTATACAAAAAGATGTGAGAGGCAGTGGAGAAGTTAAAGGACTCTAAGTACAGGAGAAAAATCTCAAACAGGAAAAATGACATATTAACCTGAGAACCAAAATTGGTATTACGGATGACAAAGAAAATGGGAGATGTTGACACAAATTGGTTTATATGTAGATTTGTAGAGCAGCTTAAATCTTACCCTTTTAAAACTATTGGTCCCCACTGATTTAAAAGGAATTGTGTAAAACTTTGCCTAACAGTTTTTCCTCATCTAAAAAAAATATATGCTAGGCTTATTTAATTATTTTTTGTTACTATCAAAATGATCATTTTTTTCTCCTTTATTATTTAATGTGGTGATTTACACCTAGTACATTTGCTAAAATGGAAGAAATATTACATTACAGGAATAATGATCAAGTGATATTATCTCCTTATACTTTGCTGGGTTCAATTTGCTCTTTCCTCACTTGTACTGTTTTTGACAGATTTTGTCTTTAAGGTTATGCCATGCATTTAAAATAAATTTTGGGATGTTTCCTCTTTGCAATTCTCTGAAAGAGATTGTATAACTTGAAATTGTGTTGCTGGTACGTTTTATAGAACTCATCTCCAAAATCAACTGAGCTTGATGTTTGTTTTGTTTTGTTATAGGGTAACATTTTAATAACCAACTTTTGTCTCATCTGATCCTCTCTTTATCTGATAATTTTTATTTCATTTTTTCCTTCTATTCTTTATCAGTTACTTCTGTCTTTTTGGTTTACTATGATTCATTTTTTCTAACTTTTTTGGTGGAATTTTTGGTTTATTACACTGAGCCATTTGTCTTTTCTAATATAAGAAAAGTTCATAAATTTACCTGTAAACATGGCATTAGCTTCATCCTAGACATTTCAATATGAAGTATTTGTATTTTCACCTCTATTTATTCTTTTTTTTTTGACAAAGTCTCGCTCTGTTGCCAGGCTGGAGTGCAGTGGCACGATCTTAGTTCACTGCAACCTCCTACTCCCTGGTTCAAATGATTCTCTTGCCTCAGCCTCGAGAGTAACTGGGATTACAGGCACACGCCAACACACCCAGCAAATTTTTGTAGTTTTAGTAGAGACGGGGTTTCACCATGTTGGCCAGGGTGGTCTCGATCTCCTGACCTCGTGATCTGCCCGCCTTAGCTTCCCAAAGTGCTGGGATTACAGGCGTGAGCCACCGCGCCTGGCCCACTTCTATTAATTCTAAATATATCCTAATTTCCATTATCATTACTTCTAGTTCTAAGAATTAACTATAAATATGTTAATATCCCTGATTATAAAAGGCATAACTGGTCTTCCTTTTTGTTATTAATTTTTAACTTTATTCCACTGTGGTTAGTATTTTGTGCAAAATATCAACTCTTTGAAATTTGTGGAGGCTGTGTTATGCACTAGAATGTTGTTATTTGTATAAATGATATGTTCCTGGAAACAGTATCTGTTCTTCAGATATAACATTCATTATGTGACCATCACATCAAGCTTAATTATACACTTCATATCATACATAATCTTTTAAATTTTTGATTATTTATTTGATCTATCAATCACTATGAAAGGTGCCTAAGATATCCCATTATGTTATAAATATTTAAGTTTGTTTTTTATTCTATCAATTTCATAGTTACAGGAATATACACACACATATTTTTACCTTTATATATTTTGAGGTGGTGTTATGAGGTACATATACCTTCACAATTTTTTATCTTCCTAGTTAGGTAAACATTTTATTAACTAGAGAGAAACTTATTTCTAATAAACTTTCCTTAATTTTATATTATGTGATATTAATAATACACATTACTCTGGTTATTGTTTGCCTGGTATGTATGTGCATATGTCCATTGATTATGAAGATTTATTTTTTAAATTTATTTTTAACTTTTATTTATTTATTTATTTATTTATTTATTTATTTATTTATTGAGACAGGTTATCACTCTATCATCCAAGCTGAAATGCAGTGGTATGATCACAGGTCACTGCAGCCTCAATCTCCTAGGTTCAAGCAATCTTTCCACCTCAGCCTCCTGAGTATCTAGTACCACAGGCCTGTGCCACCACTCATGGCTAATTTTTAAAATTTTTTGTAGAGATAGTGTCTTGCTATATTTCTCAGGCTGGTCTTGAACTCCTGGGCTTCAAGCGATCCTCCCACCTTGGTCTCCCAAAGTGTTGGGATTACAGGCGTGAGCCACCATGCTTGGCCTATTTCTAACATCCTTTTATGTGTTTTCTCTTTGAATCTCTTGTGCCCTGTCTGTTGTTTCCTCTTGCCTCTTTCATTTCTCGCTTGCCTTTTTTTTTGGCTACACTGAAGACTTTTCATCTTTAGGCCTAAAAATGTCTACTAGTACTCAACATCTCTATTTCCTCATGGTAAAATAAGGCCCAAATTACAATTATAAACGTGAATTTAAAAAATCTTTCAAAAATAGAACTCTTATATCTAGCAATATTTAAAAGGTATAATATATCCCAACCAAGTTGAATTTATTACAGGAATGCATAATTGGTTTAACACTTGAAAACTAATCAATTTTACTATTACAATAACAAACTAAAGGATAAATCATATGATACAAATAGATTGAGTAAAACAATATATATTTATAATTTTTAAAATTTTTTTGATAACTAGAAATAGAAGGGAAACTTTCTTACTGCAATAGCAGATAGCTTCTAAGCCTTAAGCAAAATCATAATTCAAGGTAAATTGTTAAAAGCTTTCATTCTGAGATTGGGAATAAGAAAATTAAACCTGCTATGACTACTTTTAATTAATATTGTAAAAGATGGTCTACCCAGACAGAGAGACATTAAGAAAAAATAAAATATTTAAATTTAAGAGAGAACAAAAAAATCTTAATGTTCAGATGACATGATTTTATAGACAATCCAAAAATATCTTCAGATGAATTATTATGTGTAATAAGTAAGAGTAACAAGGTTGCTAGCTATAAACTCAATATATAAAAACCAACTGAATTTCTCTGTAACGATAATGAGCATAAAATGAAATTTAAAAATTCATATCATCTACAATAACATCAAAAAAACTAAATGTCAAAGGGTAAATCTAACAAGGATGTGTGAGACCTCTAGACAGAAATCTATAAAATATGTTGAGGGAAATGAAAGAAGATACAAACAAATGAAAGAAGATATAAAGAAATCTGTATCACAAGCATAGATTAGAATATTTCATTTTTTATTTTATTTTCATTCTTATTTTTCAAACTATAAATTTGTATTGGAAAACATTAAAGAGGACCCAAACAGAAGAGGTAGACAATGTCCATGCACAGAAAGAATATGTATTTTAAGCAGACCGATTAGAATATTTAATATGTAAATATTTATCAATACTTTTCAAACTCATCTATAGATTTAACATAATCTTCATAAAAATCAAGTTCATTTTTTTCTTTCTTTTTAAAAATAACTAGAGTTGATTTTAAAATTATACAGAAATACAAATTGCCAAGAATAACTAGGACACACTTGTAGAAAAAGTATAATGTTGGTTTACTTGATCTACCAGAAATACAAACTTATTGTAAAGCTACAAGTTGTATGTTATATAAGTAATTACTCTAAGAAATCAATAAGAAAATAAGAAATCTATCAGAAAATAAGAAACCTAACAGATACTTCACAAACAGATTATCCAAATGTCAAATAAAGACGAAAATTGTCCAAATTCTCATTTAGGGGAGACAAATAAGATATCACTACACACAAAATAGAATGGCAAAATATACAAACTAGGGACCATTTAAGGTGCAGAAAAGAATGTGGAGTAACAGAACGTCTTACGCAATTCAAGTTGAAATGTAAATCGGTTTAACAATGTTGGAAAACCAAAGGACAAAACAACAAAACCACAACACAAAAGTGTCTGGCAGTACCTATTAAATTTGAAGAGACATATATCTTATGGTCCAACGATGCTAAATAGAAATGAGCACATTTATACAAAGATGGCTACTAAAATGTAGAAAGGTAGAATTATTCCTAATATCCTAAAACTAGAAACAACCAAAGGCTCATGAACAGTAGAATGTATAAATTATATTCACATGATGAATGTATATTATGTATGTATATATAATATGCAATAAATCAGTCTAAGTCAGTTTTGTTCGGGTGATACAATGCTAAATACAAGCATGAAAATAAAGACCATAATAAGATATTTGTTGTTTTTTGTTTTGGTTATGGTTTTGAGATAACGGAAGTACTGTGAGTAGAAAGGGGCAAGTGACTGTCTTTTAAAAAATCAGCACCGTTCTTTTCCTTGATATGTCTGGTTACACGGATTTGTCCTTTATAACAAATGTGTAAGCAACATATTTAGGTTTTTTATATTTTTCTCTATATGTTCACAATTTTAGAAAAACAACTTATTTTTTTTCCTGAAGATAAAGCCACTTACATTACTTAAAAAAAAAAAAAAAAAACTTAGCAGATCATCTAGAGTCCCTGTATTTTCTAATAAGGTTCCCATAGCAACCCAAGTAGCATGAGAATAGAGTCTATTAAATTCACTTAGAGTATTGGCTTTCTTGGCTTGCTGTCACCAGTCTCAGAATAGAAGTCCTTCAGCCTGGCAGAGTGATGTCACGAGCTATCTTTGTCAAAACAGAAGATCTATAAACCAGCAAAAATTCCTCTAAGGCTGTTTCAGTTGAAGATGGTGAGGGTGGAGTGCTGCTCATCAGCAGGATTCTTAAGGAACACTCCTATTGAGATTCCTTCAGGGCAACTGTAGAGCCATCAGAAAGCATCCAGCAACCACTGCTGCTGTTTTACTCAAAACTCCACCTTCAAGCCCAGGAAAGGCAACGAATGGGAATCACTTAAGACTGGGGCAGGCGATATTTCCTCCCTTTTGATTTTTTCTGTTTCTTTGTTTCTTCTGGAAGCAGGGCTGCACAAGTTAGCTTATAGAATTGTAGTTTCACGTTGAAGTTTCTGTAAATGAGAATTAGCTATTTAAATCTAGACCATTCTAACTTTGGAATTTCCATGTGATCTATCTATGTAAACTGAGTGATATTTACCGCCTACTTTAGTATTCCATCTGCCAAATCCACCTCTGCACCTGAATACATAAAATGCATCTTGATATTATTATGCCTAAAAATTAGCTCCTTATATTCAACTTTCCCTCTCCAAACCTCCTTCTCTCAAGGTCTTCCTCATTCTAAGAAGTTCAAAACATCTTTTCAGTTACTGAAGTCGAAATCCTGGCTCATCTCTGATTGCTGTCTCTCAAACCCGGTATCCGCTCTTTCAACAAATCCAGCAGACTCTCTCTCAGTATAGATTCAGAATCCGATTGGAGTTCACCAGGGCTGAAATCTTTGTTCAGGTCACCCTCGTGTCTCCTCTAGATCCTTACAGTAGCCTTCTACCTGATTGTTTTACCCTCCCTCTCAACCACACCTGGCTTTTCTCAAAAAATCAGCTCTAATACCGAGTTTTGTCATTCCTGTGTTCAAAGCCCTCCAAGGGCTCCCCACTTCACTCAAAACCAAATTCCTTACTATAACCTTCAAGGACCTTCCCGATCTGGGTCCTGGTAACCTTTCTGACCTCATCTAACTCCTCCCCTTGCTCATTCCGCTCCAGTCACAGTTGCCTTGCGCTTGAATTTCAACTTTCCTATGCCTGGAAAGTTTTCCCTTAAAAATCCACAGAGCTTGTTCCTTAACTTCAATTTCCACTAAAATACTACGTTCTTAGTGAGGCCTTCCCTGGCTCCCTGTTTAAAAATTCAACTCCTTGTCCTGACACTGTCCAGCCTTTTATCTGCTTGTTTTTATTTTTTCTTTCTTAAGAATCATCAGAATCAGTCATACATATTTCACTTCTTTGTCTTGTTTATATTTAGTCTCCCCTGCTAGAATATTAGCTCCACAAGGGCAGAAATCTTTGTCAGTTTTAATCATTCTGCATTCCCAATACCTATAAAATGATTGGCGTACAGTAAGTGCTCATACGCTTTTGTTAATAAGTAAATGAATAAGCATTTCCCAAGATGTATCATGCTATCTACTTACACTCCAAGATTTAACAATTGTTTCTTGTAAAAGAGATTTTTGTGATGAGAAGGTCTGGGGATTTTTTAAATTCCATTTCTCCCTTGGAGCTTCACGAGGCACATTTTCAAGTCAATGGATATGAGCATTTACACAATTTTAAAACAAATGCTTTATTTTCTTCAACCCAGGAATCCCTCAACATATTTGATCATGGAATTCTGTCATGCACATATGTAACCATTTATTTATTTTTAATGTTTGCTATGTGAGTGTGTGTGTACAAAACACCTCTTAATATCACTAGGGAACACACTTTACAAATGGCTGTGTTAGAGTATAGAATTGGATTTGTCTCCAGGTTCGATTTTATTGAACCAGTCTATGCTTTTCCACAATTTCTAGTCATCTGGCTCCATTTAGACAAGGAAAATAAAAGCACACCAAGGGAGCTCTTATAAATAGCCCTTGTTTGATACACAATGATGCCATAATATGTTTCTATTTTTAAAAAATCTGTAAACTTATCATTACAAATTAAATGGTTATTTAAATAAATGTAAAATGTGTATTATTCAAAGTAACTCAATAATACAAATTGCCTTTATAACAATAACTAGAGTGCCAGTCAGCACTGGGTTCAACTTCTGTCTCTACCACAAATTCTTTTAATATAACTTGCAATTACTTTAATTAGACCTGCATATGTTCAACAACAAATAATATATTCATTAATCCCCTTAAGCTCAGTTTTATACATAGTTCAGTTTCTTTATTTGTGAAGTGGTGGCAATATTTACATTAGAGAAGATTAATGGAGATAGAGCTTGTGCAGTGCCTGGCATCATGCCTAGCACATTGCAATTGCTGGGAAAATAGTCCCTTTACCTTCCTTTAATTGTCTGTTTCAATACAGTGGATTTAGCTTCACAGAATGAGCTATAAATATAAACTGCACAAAATACTTCAGATGAATATACCTGTGATTTATACGTGTCATGCTTTCATGCACATTTTTCTAATTACCTCACAGCAAATTATAAAACAAAGCATTTAGTTGAAACTCAATTATAAATGCTGATTCTAACAATTTGCTCTATACAGCAGGGATTGGAAAACATAATTCACAGCCAAATTCTATTTGCCATAAACTCTTTCAACCATATTTTTTGTTTAGATAATTCTGTTTTTCAATATGAAGGGAGTTTAAATGTCATCTAGGTAAGAGGAGCATCACACTTTCAGCGTAATCGGAGCTGATGCTTGGGTATGTAAAATCATTAAAAGTGACTTATGAAAATCCAATTGTCCAGCAACATTTAAGAGCTTGCTCTATCCTAATCTCTGAGCTGGGCATGAGGGACACACAGATGAATGCAGCACGGTAGTAGGAGCTTACAAACACCCTTTGAAAATAACAAGGCCATGACAGCGTCTAGGAGTAGAACCTAGCCACTCTTGCTACACTGCATCTTTAGCCAGATCAAAATAATGACTGCGTGAGACATTTCCCGAGACATTTCCGAAGGGTAAGAACTGCTTCTGTGATAATGCATCTTTGCTAATTAGAACGATTTTACAAGGGTGTCATTAAGCCTCAAGGCTAATTGTATGGAATCCTCATTGAAGAAGGACTACAACTATCTATCTTTCTATCTAGGTATAAATACATTGGGCTATAAGAATTGAGGATCTGAACTGGTTGTCATTTAAAGACAAAAGCAGTAAAGGTGAAATGATAAGACTATGCCTAGTAGCAGATAGCTAAGAAATGCTTGCTGTTGAAACCTAACTTTGTCTTTACTTGAGAAAATGTAGGCATGTCTTGTAGCATCTCAGCCTCAGTTCTCAGTAAGTATAAGAATCTGGATTACAGACTGAAAGGTCTCAAAAGGTCCGTTCAGCCACAGTGTGCTAGGATCCTATAAACTATTCATGGAAATATTCTAAACAAATCGATAGCACTGACAATACTAAGCTCCAAAGCCCAAGTGTATTGCTCGTATTATTCCATTAATTCACAAAGTCAGTCGGATAGGTAAAATAATGCATTTAAAGTAGTTTTCATTTAGTCAAAAAAAGCTGCAAAACGTATCGATCCAATCTGAACTTTATAAAAAGGCTCAGAATTGCCAAAAATACATTCCTCTTCCTGTAAGGGAACATTCAAACTCATGTATATGCGAGGTACTGCTAGTGAGGGTTGAGCTCCAAATAAAGAAAGGAAGTGCCTTTGTAAAAGATAAATGAGTAAGGGAAATTGAGGGCATATGAAAAGAAGACACATAATAGGAGAAGAAAATAATACACTCTTCCATGAAACACTGTTGAAACCAAGGAAATGAAATTATCTTTATTTCGTGAAAAATCTTTGATAAGGCCGGGCCCTGTGGCTCACGCCGGAAATCCCAACACTTAGGGAGGCTGAGGTGGGTGGATCACCAGAGGTCAGGACCTCGAGACCAGCCTGGCCAACGTGGCAAAACTCTGTCTCTACTAAAAAAATTAGCTGGGGGTGGTGGCGCATGCATGTAGTCCCAGCTACTCGGGAGGCTAAGGCAGGATAATCCCTTGGGCCCGGGAGGCGGAGATTGCAGTGAGCCGAGATCGGACCCTTGCACTCCAGCCTGGGCAATAGAGTGAGACTCCGTCTAAAAAAATAATAATACAAAAAAAAAAATAGGCCAGGCGCGGTGGCTCACGCCTGTAATCCCAGCACTTTGGGAGGATGAGGCAGGCGGATTGCCTGAGCTCAGGAGTTCGCAACCAGACTGGGCAACACGGTGAAACCCCGTCTCAAAAGGGGATTCATTTCCAAATGATATCCGGTAAACTTTCCCCCAAAGATGGCCTACAATTCTTCAATACCTCAAACCCTGAAAGCCACAGTGATTACATTGCAGTTGGCTTACAATGTATATTTTGTATTTTATTTTTTTGAAGATCTGTATTGACATAGGACAAAATTTATATTTGGTCTTAATTACTTCAGTCTCACTTTTACATAACCAGAAGCTTTACAAACTCAAGTAGCTTTATAAACTGGCAGAAATTGCAACTTGTTATAGTTAATAAATAATAGTATTCATATCCTATTGCTGTTTCCACAATGGCAACTTGACAGAAATGTCAGCCTCCTAAGATGTTGGGCATAATAAGGCAATCTCCCCGGACCATGGAATCACTGTGACCCAGCAGGCACACTGTAGTCTTCAGAGAAAACTCCAGCTTTCCCAAAGATAATGCTCCTGTTTCAGCTACAGGAGCATCATGCTTTTGCCTTCTATTGTCACAATTGTGTTAGAAAACTCATTGTGTTCTCTGTAGTAAAATATATACATAACCATACATTTTCCAAAAAAGAAAGAGTATTTAGAAAAGTTGTAGTTACGGGCAGAAGATTATTCTTCTTGGATAGAAGATTGACTTTACCAAATTGAAGATATTTTCCTATTATAACATCAAGCCAAAAAAAGAAGGTTTTGAAATCTGGAACTGTAGTTCTGAGATTGTGATTCCATTTCTACAGCAAACAATAAATAAGGGACATCCACGCCCATCTCAGTATGTCCTCACTTGTCAGTGTGTATATCTGAAGGACAGAATGACTGGAAAAGTTCCAGTTGTTATAAGACAGAATCAATATTTTTTGTATATATGAGAGAAAAGAACTTTAATATACACATTACCATCTTTTCATTGGTCAGACCAGTGGCAACAGCAAGAACACTAATCCTTAGTGCAACATATATTTTTCTTTGGTTACCAAACATCATTCATGTCTTTGCAGTATGAAGAGTAAGAACCATTTGGTTCTACAACTCTAGGTAAAATTTGGTAAATATATGATGGGAAAATAATGATCAGTTAGAAGTAGAAAACACAAGTATGCTACTGGTTAAAGAAGGACAGGGGATAATGTCACATTGTTTTAATAGTATAGCGTCAATTTTACAGAAATACCAGTTTTCTGTGTTTGTCATAACTGTGGGCATTGCCAAACTGTGAGATCTTACCAACAATGGCATTTTAAAAATTACTTTAGTTTTGATGAGAATTTAAACATTAATCAGGCAAAACAGAAAGGTGAAAAATATTTTCCACATTTCTTTTGGCTCAAGGAATGTCAAATTTTTAAACTTTATTTCCTCAATATGCAAAAATATCTGTATTTTTTATCTGTGGAACAGAAAAAACAAAGATGACGAAAGTTAGAACAATATGTAAAGTGTTATATCTCAATTAAGTAAATCATCATAAATATATAAGTAGAAGTTGCTAAAAGACAGTTCTAGCCTAGTCCACTAAGAGTGATATTTTTGTTGACTAAAGGCTATATAAAACAACTGCAGTTATGTAAGACAAACATCTTTTTTTTCCCCCCAAGGGAAATTTTTAATGGTAGACAGGTAAAACAAAGTGTAGACCCATTTTGCTTATATCTCTTATACAACTATAAAGCCAAAACAAATTACAAGATAAATATAAGCAATATTTCCATACCAAGAAAACTTAATATAAATACATTTTAAATAGACAGAATTGCATAGTATCATCTCCACTCTGTAAAGTGTGGCTGGGGAAGAGGAAAAAAAAAAAAACTATAGCAAAATATTTACAAAGCTATCTCCTGGAGAGAGACACAACTCTGGTGTGAAAAAAAATGACAGAAAAGATGAATCAGGATACTTTGGATCATTTACTGCATATGAGCTACTCTGGAAGTATGACATGCATTCTCTCAACTAAGTTTCAAAATACCATGGGACATAGGTTTTAACTTCTGAAGAGTTAATGACAAACCGAAGCTTTTCTGAAAATAGTGCACAGGAAAAGAAAGAGTTGAAAATAATATCATAATAAGTATGACTAAGGAGATAAGACTTAGAGAGAAGCCAAGATAATTATCTTGAAGGACTAGAGAGACTATGAGGTGAAGGAGCAGATTAGAGAACAAATATAAGTTGACTAGGGAAATTCTTTTCAACAATTACAAGAGTTGTTAGAATATACACTGTACTATTATTAGCCCTGTCTTACAGACAAGAATACTGAGACTCAGGAAAATTAATGTACCCAAATTCTAGTAATTAAAAGAGCAAAGATTAAATTCCAGGAATCTATGACTTCATGACATTGTGCTATACAGACAGACAGATTTCAACTCTATATACAGACTGATCAGCTAAAAGGGACAGGTTCAACTTGCTGATCTCCGAGGCTTCTTCTAAATGTATAATTAATAATAATATATCATTTATTCACAGAAATAAGAATTTGATTGGGCAATTGTTGCAAAAAAAGACCTGTAAATACATAGTGTTTGATTTTAATAACAAAAACATGACTTTTTATGACAATATAATTTTCCAAGAAAAAAAGGCATGCCTTCTTATATAGCACATTCCGCATACATCAACATATTATGTAACTACATTTGAAACGATGTCTTCTACACATTGAGAGCATCATAAACTTATAAAAGTAAATATTTTTAGAGAAAGGGTATGCTTGTTTTCTTCCAAATAGATTATTTTGTTTTATGCTAACCACATTCCTGTGAGAGAGGTATGAATATTTTACAGGTGAATAATAGTCTTAATCACCCACACAGAGGTATCCACTGGCAGCTAATGTAATCATTGGTTTGTCAGGTATTTAAACCTGAGCTTTTCCTGGGGTCCTAGTTGTTGGTAGTAACTGTTACCCACCTTAAACAGGCAGTATTGAGAAGATAACACAAAAGAATGTGTGACACAGGCCTTTGTGGCATATGGAAGTCCTACACAAACTAGCCAAAGGCTCTGGGAAACTGTGTGGTAGACAATCTCTAAGATGCCCTCAAGGACCCCATCTCCTTATAATGTGAGATTGACCCACTAACTCCTGACAAATAAGATATGGCAAAAGTGGTGTGATATCACTTTTGAGACCTAAACAAGGAACTTACAACATTTGCCTTATTTGGTGACATTATTGCTATGGACCAGCGATTCTTCCACTGGACAGTGCCTTCCATTCCCTCCACCATCCTTTTTGAGCAGAAATGTCTATAATGTTGTTTGCTTGTCTGCCATTGCATGTTAGGTGTATGTGGGACAGATAATTGTCTCTTTAGTTAACACATCTACCGTCAAGAAAACTCTACTCATGTTGCCAAAGCTTAAGGAACTACATGTGAAGAGCCTCATCTTCACCTGGATTTGATTTAGACAATGGGATTTGAAATTCCAGCTGAGACTGGAATGAGATAATGTCGTTTGTGTCTTTCACAATATTTTGGGGTAAGACAGACATAAACCATGGTGACACCATAATCTAGCAAAGTTACAGTAGAACACATAAGCGCCTTATACACTAAGAATGCAGATCTGCATGAACGATGTATTAGGAAAGGGTGGTAAGTCTTAAGTGTCATGGCACATAGAAATCACATGCAGAAAAGACGGGCATGGACAATCACGGCGTGTTAAAAGAAGAGAACGTGCTTCTGAATGGTTGAGAAAGGCATGAGTAGATGAGATGAGGTTAGCCAGGTGGTGTGGCAAGATGCAACTAAAATTCTATAGTATTTGGCACTGTTCCAGGGGCAAAAACGAGGAAGACTCCTAAAGCACACAGCTCTGTCCTTGAGGGTTTCTGGACACACAGGCATACTCAGTAAACCAGGAAAACACAGTGTAGCACATTAGGAAATGAAGAAAGGAAAAACATAGTTTGAATGCCTGTATGTCAAGAAATGCATATGTGGGGTGTTACATCATCAATCTTTATATTAATGAACCATCAGCGGTGGACATTGATATAGATAGATACATACACACATACATAAATACATAGATATATAGCTAGGCAGATAGCCCATGTCTCACAGCATATAGGAGATGAAGTCAAAATTTGATAAATGTCCACCTGGCTTCAGTGTGTGTGTGTGTTTATTACAGTGCTTGAATCCCATAGCATGCCTTTTTCTCACAGAAATAGAAAAGCAGAATCATTGAATCACTTCTATGATACAGTACAACTCTAGAAGATAGACATCTTGATTATTTTCTGGTAGGAACAAAAGGCCCCATATTCTCATACAAGCATGTTTGTGACTGAAGTTAGCAGTCTGAATGTAATGAGAAAATGAATGGGTAGTGAACAGATAAAGACACAGCTGTTATTACTTCATTAATATAGCCTTGAACTGCATCTTTTGGTAAGTTAAATGCTACTTTCTTCCTCAAAAACTCATTAACTAAGTTAGCATGCTGCTATTTGTTTTTTGAAGCATCCATATCTGAAGTGTTAATCTATTTCACTCACAATAGGAACTTGGCTTTAAAATAGTTCATCAGTTGCTCTGACAGCAGGATCCATCCTGCCCAGAACCAATGAGCTTGCAGGTTGTGTTTGCCTTGTTAAACAACCATAGTTGCTGAGGTAATTTGGGAACAGTTTAGTATTTTGTGCATAATTCTCATCGTGTAACAAGCAGAGCTGTCCCTTGGGACACAAAGCACACTCTTATTCCAACCCCTTTTGCTAAGTTTCCTCATTAATTCTGCTTATCTTCCTGCACTGCTCATATTAACTCTAATTCAGCCTTCCTGGGAACTGGAGTGTGAGATAGAAGTGGGTCACTGGGGAGCCACTCCTTACTGTGCTCATGGCCCTACAGCAGGGGTTGCCAGATAAAATACTCAAAAATGGCTTTACAAGTAAACAACAAATACGATGTTTATAGATACACCTCATGCAATACACAAAACATATCTAGCCTAAAAAAGTATTTGTTACATCTCTGAAATTTAAATTTATGTGGGTGTCCTGCATTTTTATTGACTAAATCTGGCCAGCCTACCCATGATATACCTTCTACAGCTGAGGGCCTAGTTGAGTGTAGTTATGGCCCTGGCCCAGTGTGCTTGGAGCCCAGCACAAAGTAGGATATCATCATATTTGGAGAAAACACACCATTTTATATTATGCTCCTAGGGAAGGATTATGGGAATAGTTCAAGCTTTAGAGACATTTTGATCTGGATTATTATTCATCTTTACTATTTATCAGTTGGGCATATTACTTTTACTTTCATCAGCCTTATTTCTTCACATATATAGTGGAAAAAAATTCCCTTAAGAGGCTTTTTTAAAAGACTAACTTTCTGTGCCCTGAAGCTCTATGTCTTTCTCTTCCACGAATGGCAGTCTCACTCGTGCGCACTCTAAATATGGACAGCTTTCTTGAATACATACTAGGTAGCTCCCCAAATCTGGTATTCCCAAGGATACTAAAATGAAGACAGGAGCAGTTTTCCCCAAACCAAAGATTAGGTCACTCAGGTTATGGCGATTTCATACATCACATATTTAAGATCCCTGGTAACTTCAAAAGACAAAATGTGATAACTCCTGTGAAGTCACCTACCATGCCCATAACTTATATAATAGTGAACATTCATTCTCTTTCCTCTATGCCTCCTAACTGGTGAGTGCTTGAAAGCTTCATCAATAAACGGAGCCCATATTCAATATACTTTCAATACAGCACAAGCTTCTGCTTCAATTCTCATGCAAAAAAAAAAAAAAAAAAAAAAAGGGATGAAATCCTTCTTAGAAGAGTGAATGCAACATGAAGACAGGCGACCTCACTGGATAAGCAAATTTACTTGACTTCCCTAAGCTGTGTTCCAATCCTGTTGGAAACATTAATATTTAACACCTTTAACCCTCAGTACTACTAAGTGAACTGGAAACTTCAACTTTAAAAAGTCTTCATTAGGCCGGGCATGGTGGCTTATACCTGTAATCCCAGCACTTTGGGAGGCCGAGGAGGGCGGATCATGAGGTCAGGAGATCGAGACCATCCTGGCTAACACGGTGAAACCCCCATCTCTACTAAAAAATACGAAAAAAATTAGCCGGGTGTGGTGGCGGGCGCCTGTAGTCCCACCTACTCCAGAGGCTGAGGCAGGAGAATGGCGTGAAGCCGGGAGGTGGAGCTTGCAGTGAGCCGAGATCGCGCCACTGCACTCCAGCCTGGGCGACAGAGGGAGACTCCGTCTCAAAAAAAAAAAAAAAAAAAAAAAGTCTTCATTAGATTAATACCATTTTTTATATGCTACTGCTTAAGCAGAGGAAATCTCAAGAAAGAAGATCGCTGATTGAGAATTAATCTAGAACTAAATTGCATGGTCTTGTGTTTCATGGGTGGGTTTGCTTATACGTTTTAGACATTTAAGCAACTTAAGAGTTAAGAAAAACATATACTATTTACATTTATTTTTAAAAGTGTTATTTCCATAAGTATTCATTGAGCTTTTATAATTATGCTAAGCATTGGGCTGGAGATCCACAACAAGCAAGTTCTACTATCACAGAACTTATTTTCTAGTGAAGAGGCTGATGAGAAAAAGGTGAACACATAAATTAGTTAGATTTTAATAAATGCAGTGGAGAAACAAAAGAAGTTAATATGAATAAAATAGGAAGTACATAAAATAGAGAGGCTAAGTCTCTTACAGAATGTATTTAATTGAATTATTTATTATGAGAAGGAATCAACCACGTGCAGATAAGTACAATAGCTAGTGCTGAGGGAAAGGCAGGACAAAGGCCCTGGGGTAGGTAGAGAAATGAGAATAATAACGTGGTAGGAGTGGTCAGGGTGCCAGGCAGAGCCAAATCATGGAGGACTTGGCATGGCAGCAGATAGTGCCTAGATTTCATTCTAAATCCATTAAAAAGTTTCATGCAGGGGAATGGTATGCTTTTATGGATGTTTTAAGGAAAAAGTTATATGTAATCCAAATTAAATTATAATGTGATTCCCTTTGCTGATGAGAGCCAGTATTTCCAAACAGATTGCCTCATCCTCGTCCTGTTTACGCTGACATCTTCATTAGGATGTTTCCATCGCTGCCCATAAAAATCAAGTGCTCTTTCCTCGAAGACCAGTTCAAGGTCCACTTTGCAACTCATCTCACTGCCTCCCCAGGCATTCTGCACTTGCCGCTTTCTCTGAATCTGGCACAGACTAAATGAAAATTTATCCTTCTAATGTCCACAGGGTTGCTTAAAGGGCTAGCATTTGGTGAATATTTGAAGTAAAATCCCAAGTTTGTTCCATTAGCTAGGATTCTGCGATCAGTGCCTTCAGGCAAACTCTGCACACAGCTACTGACAGAGTAAGCTGTTTAAGAAAATCTCATCACTTCCCTGCTTGAAACCTCAGAAGGTTTTCTTCTTCAACAAGAGATAAGATTATACTTATTTCAAAGGGCAGATAGGGTGGTCATAATCTGCTCTGGCCCCTTCACCAACTACATCAAGTTTGTCCAGTTCTGGGACTCCTTGCCATTTCCCAAATGTGCTCTTCCATCTCTTATTTCCCTTTATTCTTCCTTTTCCCTCTCTCTCATATTTCCTTTCTCCAGCTACTAACTGTAGAAATATAATTTTTTATTCTTTCACTTAAAAATGGCCCGAACTATTCTGATGTATGTGGGTGCTCCTTCCTCTGTCTCCCTTTATCCCAGGATTTACCCTAAACCGTAGCTCTAGCATATATGCTCCTTTGGACAAATAGTTCAAAAAAGGTTGCCTACAATAGATTTCTCTCCAAGATTCACAGATGAATAGAATACACCTAAGACTTTGTGAAGCTATGCAGTAGAGGTACAGAACCTAATGTTTTCCACATGTATGTGAACTCAACTCCTATTTATGTTCATGTGTGTCAAACATATATTAATATCCTGTATATGTTTGGGACATCTTCATCTGACCTTTTGTAAAACAAAACAAAACTTCAATTTAAGTCTTTTTTGCAAGAATTGCAATAATTGGTTTAAAAGTCTGTCCCATGTGGCTGGGCACTGTGGCTCATGCCTGTAATCCCAGCACTTTGGGAGGCTGAGGCACGTGGATCACCTGAGGTCAGGAGTTCAAGACCAGCCTGGCCAACATGGTGAAACTCTGTCTCCACTAAAAATCCAAAAAAAAAAAAAAAAAAAAAAAGCCGGGTGTGGTGGCAGGCACCTGTAATCCCAGCTACTCAGGAGGCTGCAGAATTGCTTGAACCTGGGAGGCAGAGGTTGCAGTGAGCCAAGATTGCACCATTGCACTCCAGCCTGGGCAACAAGAGAGAAATTCTGCCTCAAAAAAAAAAAAAAAAAAAAAAAAAGTCTGCCCTATGCACTGAACTGTGAACTTCTTGAGAGTCTGTCTCATTTGACTTATTGTAGCTGGCCTGGTACAAGGCCTGAGCTCTCACAGGGGCTCAACACATTCTGACTGGCTGAACCATCATGAGCCCACAAAGCAGACAGACTCTGCTTATTGAGAAGAACCTGTATCATCTTCACTTTGCTGCATCTGCAGATGTTCCATCATTGTCCTTTCTTCCCCTTTCTATTAAGCTGACTTATCCTAGCTCCTGAAGCAACTGTAAGGCAGAATTGGATATAAAAAACAATTTTTTAACTTCTCTGATAACTCTGAGAATTACTTTCTTTCTTTTTTTTTTTTTTTCTTGGCAGAGTTTCACTTTTGTTGCCCAGGCTGGAATGCAGTGGCACAATCTTGGCTCAATGCAACCTCTGCCTCCAGGGTTCAAGAGATTCTCCTGCCGCAGCCTCCCAAGTAGCTGGGATTACAGGCATGCACCACCACACCTGGCTAATTTTGTATTTTTATTAGAGACGGGGTTTCATCCATCTTGGTCAGGCTGGTCTTGAACTCATGACCTCAAGCGATCCACCTGCCTCGGCCTCCCAACTGCTGGGACTACAGGCGTGAGCCACCATGCCTGGCTCTCTCTGAGAATTACTTTCTAAGTACAATCTGAACATCACTGTTGCTCTTTATTTCCCTTTATTTTAGCACATCCCAGATTTTCAGAACCTACTACCAACTCACGTGCAGTTGAGATATTTGGCATATGTAAGTAATCAACTTGATACTGACTAAAAGATCAGATTATTCTGTGTCTGATTTGATAAGTCCAATGTCCAATGCTTTTTGTTAGACTTGCTCTCTGACAAAGAAGCATTCACTTTTTACAAAAAGTTCAATAATTTGGTAAATGTTCAAGCTATACCCTTATTTCAATTCATAAAAATGTTTCCTTAGAAGAAACTAGAAGCTCTGCTCATGGCTGGTCTTGATCCTTCAACTAGAATTCATTGCCCCAAATCTATCTATCACTATATAATTACTACATAATTAATGTTTCACCATATTACATAAGAAATTCATGAAATTCTGCCCAAGATTTTGCTAAAGTCCATATATTCACACCTACGTAGAAACTTCCAATCTAGTTATTTAACAACTTTACGGAAAATATTATACTATTAATCTAGCAAAGATGTATTGGTCTTATGTTATTCTTCAGTGAACAGCACTGCTTTTGCCAATAGTTCAATACTTTCCTCAGTGTCTACCAATCAAATTTTATTAGCTGATTTTAAAATCTTGTCCAAAAACATCTTTACAGAAATACTCATGTTCTTCTTTGTAGAAATCATGATTAATAGATCTGCATACTTCTTCAATACATCTTTTGGTTGTATCATTTTCAAAGATCACTGAACACTATTAATCTCACCCGAAAATTATCTCAGAATTGAATTTATTTGACTTAGTTGTCATGACTTTGTGTAAACACTTTTACTTCTCCCAATAGGAGGTACCAATATGTGTTAATGACTACTCTTAATAATTAAGCCAAAATATTATCCTTATATGTATGGCTTGGGAGTCTTTGGAATGTCCATGTCAAATAAAGATAACTTTGTTAAAACAAAATACTTGGAGGGCTTGTGATTAACAGCGCATGTACTGAAGCCCATGTTAAAATAAACCAACAGAAAATCAAAGTGTAAAGGGAGAGAGTGGGCCAGGCACGTTGGCTCACGCCTGTAATCCTACCACTTTGAGAGACTGAAGTAGGAAAATCTCTTGAGCACAGGAGTTTGATACCAGCCTTGGCAACATAGAGAAGCCTCATCTCTACAAAAAAATAAAAAATTAGCTGCACATGGTGCCACATGCCTCTGGTCCCAGCTACAGGGGAGGTTAAAATGGGAAGAAGACTTGAGCCTGGGAGGTCAAGACTGCAATGAGCCACGATTACACCACTGCACTCCAGCCTGTTTGATAGAGCAAGACCCTGCCTTGAAAAATAAAAAATAGAAAGAGAGTGGTCATATTCCTTAAAATAAAATAAATGAGAAAACAATATTGTGTAAGTATTAAATACTTCTCCAATAGAATCTTTAGGAGCCAGTGGAGAGATGGTTCAAATCATGATTTAATTTGGCAAATGTTTTCTATCAGAGGAGATAAATGAGTAAGGCCTTTATACCCCAATGGCATGTACAGTAGAACCACCCAAATGACTTCATTCAACACAGTCTGTACTCACCACAAAACCTTCAATACAATACAACTTCTGTAGATTACCCCATGTGAGAGAATACAATGACCAGCTAAGTGGTCCTTTTTATACTGTTGGCAGTTATAATTCTGAATATATAGCTATAAACAGGATCTGGTTCATATTTCATTTGCTTGTAGCTTGGATAATTGTGAGTTACTGGCCAAGATCCTTATGACATGAAGGGATTCAGAAAACATTACCTTCAAAACTAAGGACTAGTCACAGAACTGCTTTGCCATTTGAAACACTGCAAGAGTACAACCTCTTTGAGGAAACATGGAGCCCTATTGCTCATCCATTAGTCACCTAAATAATTCAAGAGCTCTGGAGAAAGACAGATTTGAATTCAACTCCTATCTGCTACTTTGTTGCTCTTTAGAAAGATAATTCAGCTAATTAGTAGTCAGGTTTTGTCATTTGTAAGATAGCGATATAAATAGTTACTACTTCATTCACTCATTTTGAGAGCTTAAAGGATCATGTAACTTTTGTTTTTCCACTATATCTGATTTCTCACGTAGTTTAACATGGCAAAGGGCACACTAGCAAAACTAAACTCTTTTAATGGCACTCCTCCACAAACACACATCTATGCATATATATCCATAAATTACCATTTTATTCTATACAGAAATATAATATATTCAAATGAATGAAAATGCTTTTTTTTTTTTTTCCAAATAAGTCTACTTCAGAGACTTCAGCTTAGGAAAAAAGAATCCTCAGTTCTATCTCTAACGCCAGTTCACAAACTAGAACAGAAATATGAATTCATTTGGCTGACATATGAGCCTGTTAGATTTAAAGGAAAAACACCAAGTCATTTACAATATGCAGGGTAGCTCTAAGAAGAAAAAAGCCCACTTCCTATCATCTAAACAGGATCCTAAACTGGTCACTTCTTAGGAGATTATCCCCAGTGCTCACTAAAATACACTAAAGCCTATTTTCTTTACACAAGAGGATGAAAGAATACCCAATATACGATCAAGTTTGAAGTAATATTCTATCAATTCTAAACCTATAAATATAATTTATATCACAGACGTTGAGTACAACACATTTCTATGCCTTCCATATGGAAAACACTGTTTCTTTTTTTTTTTAACTTAAAAAATACAAAGATTATCTTATAATAACTTTTTAAGATTTTAATTAAGAATCTTATTTTTCTATGTTCTATACATCTTTTGATTTAAAAAATTACACCAGAATTTGCTCAAACAATACTTTGCATAAATATATTATGCTATCCTAAAAACAATGTCAAATCACCGACAAAATATTTAACTGACAGCATTCATTTCGTTTACCCGATGAGAATGAAGGAAATTTGCATTAAAGATCTTCCACATAATCTTCAACTCTACTTGTCCCTTGCTAATACATTTTCAAATGGCATTGCACCTGCTTTCATATAAACATCTTTGATGCCTGGAACATCAAATGCATCAAGACATTGTTAGAAAAATAACCACTTAACAAATAGCTCAAAAGGACCTAATGAGATACATTTCACACACAGTAGCTAGATATTTGTTAGATAAGAAATCCTTCGTGATTATTGCACCTTCCAAAATGGCCAGTCTGACATGCCCTTTGGCCAACTGCCTAAACTAAATGATTGGTTGTTTCTCACATCACTCATGAATATTTAGGCTTATGAAGAAGTCTGTCAATTATATCTCTTGATCTATTCAAACTGTTAAGGAAATTTCAAACATCTGACTGTAAAAATCTATATTTTCCCTCATGCATGAATGAATGAATGAGGTTAAGACATGAATTTAAGATATATATTTTTGGTTACTGATTTTCTATCAACTCTCTTTGTTTCAAAAACTTCACAAACACAATTCTGCTTCTGTGTGCATTTCCAAATTTCTGCTCTAATTATGTCAGTTAACTTTATTTTTTAACTGACACCGTATTGCAGATCAGTATTTGCTGTTGAAATTTCCATGGTACCAATCCCAGGAGCATCATTAAGAAAAATTCGGGAATATAAATGAAAAATCATGTTGAATGTTGACAGTTTTACAGACATTAGGTTTGGCATGGCTTCCTCAATGGGATAATCACTCCTTAAAATTAATAAATCTACTCAAAAACCTTTTTGGTTACTTGTTTTTACTGAAGTTGTTATCCTCTTTCCGGTCCTAAAGTGGTGACTCTCGGAAGCTGATAGATACAGGAAGAAAGACTGAAATAGCAAGTCTTGCTTTAATGTGGGAGCAATATGGGGCCGGTATAGATTTGCACTATGGCATTACTAAGTATAGCTTATCCACTTTGGCTGATACTCAGCTTAAGTGTCCCCTTTCCTGGAAAGCTGTTCCTGAACTTTCCAAGCCCATTCAATTGCTTTCTTTTTTTTTTTCATATCGTATCTTGCCTAAACTTTTTTTAGAGCACTTATTATGTCACCTCACTTATGTGTAGCTTTCTCTTTTTAGTTTTAGAGGTTTTGGACATCCAGAGATATGTATTATATATCTGCATATCCAACATCTTATACATCTGGCATATAGTAAATGTGACAAATGTATGTCAATTAAATATAGAACTCTTGCAGCATATGACTTGGAGTTTCCTGCTATAAAACAGGAATTTGTTAAACTGTATGAAGTATTCTGGTTTTGAGACTGATCAGTAAGCTCACTAATAGAGCTGGTCATTGAGAGTATAAAGATTTGGGAAGAAGACGTGTGCTTCAGATCATTACCTCCTTGTGACCCTGTGTTCTTCAAGAATAAATGAAAGTCATATTGCTCAAAGCAAGAATAATAAAAGTAAGAGAAAAAATGTATTATGTAACTAATTAAAATAGAACAATGG
The DNA here is from genome assembly GCF_000001405.40 of Homo sapiens. NCBI lineage: Eukaryota > Metazoa > Chordata > Mammalia > Primates > Hominidae > Homo > Homo sapiens. The sequence goes on along the minus strand of NC_000010.11, from coordinate 82,872,274 downwards.
AAAACACAACCAAGTGACATTTATCCATTTATCTCAGGTATGCAAAGTTGGTTCAATATTAATAATTAATGTAATCCATCACATCAAGAGACTAAAAAAATCACACGATCATATCAATAGATTTAAAGAAAGCATTTGACAAAATCCAACACCCATTTATGGTAAAAACTCTCAGTTAACTAGAAATAGAGGTGGACTTTCTCAACTTGATGAAGAATATCTACAAAATATCTATACCTAATATAATTTTTAATGATAAGAAACTTGTAGCTTTCTCATTAAGATTATGAACGAGGCAAAGTTGCCCCCTTTCATTGTTCTTTTTCAACATCATACTGGAAGTTGTAGCGAATTAAATAAGATAAGAAAAGGAAACAAAATGTACACAGATTGGAAAGGGAAGAGGTAAAACTGTCTTTGCAGATGACCTGATTGCTTAGGTTAACAAAAATTAAAAATTAAAAATATTCCTATAACAAATAAATGATTATATCAATGTAACAGGATACTAGGTTAACATGTAAAGTCAATAATTTTCCTAGATGCCAGTAATAAACAAATATGATATGAAATTAAAAACACAATAGCATTTACATTAGCATCCCCCAAAATGAAATATCTAGGTATAAGTCTAGCAAAATAAAAGATGTATACAAATAAAATGATAAAACACTAATGAAAGACTTAAAAAATAAAACCCAAGTAAGTGAAGAGATATTCCATGTTCGTGAATAGGAATACTCAATATTGTCAAGATGTCAGCTCTTTTCAACTTCATTTATAGATTTAATGCAATTCCAATAAAAATTCCAGGAAGTTACATTGTGTATCTTCATAAACTGATTCTAACATTTATAGGGAGAGGCAGTAGATCCAGAAAAGTCAACACAACATTAAAAGACAAAGTTGAAAGACGGACCCCACTTTACTTCAATACTTATTATAAAGCTATAGTAATCAAAATAGTATAGTATTGGCAAAAAAAAAAAAGACAAATAGTTTAATGGAACAGAACAAAGAACTCAGAATAGATACACATTAATATAGTCAGCTGATCTTTGACAAAGGAGAAAAGACAATACAATGGAGAAAAGATAAACTTTTCAACAAATGGTGCTGGAACAACTTGACATCCACATTCAATAAAACATGCACCTAGACACAGACCTTACACTCTTCACAAAAATTAACTCAAAATAAACCACAGACCTAAATGCAAAATGCAAAACTATAACACTCCTAGCAGATCACATATGAGAGTATTTAGATAAACTAGATTTGGCAATCCCTTTTTGGATACAGTGTTAAAGGCACAATACATAAAAGGAAGATTTTATAATCTGGACTTTATTAAAATTGAAAATTTCTGCTTTGCAAAGCATACTGTCAAGAGAATAAAGGGAAAAGCCGCAGAATGACAGAAAATATTTGCAAAAGATATATCTAATAAAGGATCATTTTTCAAAAATACAAAGAATTCTTAACAATAAGAAAACAAACTGATTAAAAAATGGGCCAAAGACCTTGGCAGACACCTTACTAAAGAAAATATGCAGATGGCAAATAAGCATATGAAAAAATACTCCACATTAAGTGTCATTAGTGAAGTCCAAATTGAAACAGTGAGTTACCATTACATACCTATTGAAATGACCCAAATCCAGAACCCTGTCAACACCAAATGATGGAGACCATGTGGAGCAACAGGAACTCTCATTCATTGCTGGTGGGAATGCAAAATGGCACAGCCACCTTGGAATTCAGTTCGGCAGTTTCTAAAAAAACTAAACATATCCTTCCCATATGACCCAGCAGTCATGCTTTTTGGTACTTACACCAAAAAGTTGAAAATTTATTTCTATACAAAAGCCTGCACAAAGATGCTTACAACAATTATATCCATAAT